>NC_000021.9:46238295-46392191 GCF_000001405.40 Homo sapiens | reverse complement strand
GAACAAGGGCAAAAATCAGCAAGACAGAAGACAGCAAATGAGAATGGCCACAAAAATCAAAAGCTGGTTGTTTTCTAAAGAGAAAAATGTAAAAAAATAATAATAATAATAAATGAGACTTCTGAATTGGCTGAGGTGGTGCCTGCGATGCCCAAGCTTCTAACTCCAATCTGTGTTCTGAAGGGATGACCCCGAGGCCACGGCCATCCTGGAAGGAACTTTTAGAGAAGCGCAGGCCCCTCTGCCTCCCACGTGCCTGAGATGCACGAATGCAATGTGAAAAGCCTTTGCTCGAGCTGAACCAGCTACTGAGGACGCAGCTCCCTGCAGGCTCGACATTTTAAACTTATGTTTTGACAGTTTTCATTTTAAATACCTTTGAGACTAAAATATCTAAAAATCTGAAAAGATACAAACTAATATTGTTAACACTATGTTTTCCTAATGAGGGTTAATATCAGGCACTTGGTTATTTTAAATGAAATTTTAAAGTAGCTCTTGTTTGCCGCACTCGGCTCTGCCTCCAGCTGCTGCTGTTGGACTCAGAGCCCCTCTTATTTCCACCTCACAGAGGTGGGGACCCTCCAACCAGCAGGACCGACAGACAACCCGCCTTCTCTGAAAGGGCAGCAAAGCCAGTGGATGCCTCACCTGATCCGCACAAGCTTCCCATGCCCAGTGTTCCAGGAGAAGCTGCGTGCTGGTTTACACTTGACCCTCTAGAGACACTGAGTGTCCTTGGGAGCTGGGGAAACCGTGGCAGCTGTATCCGCGCCCCACAGCTCGCACCACCCTCCACAGCCCGCGCTCCTTACCAGCTTCTCTGGCCTCGGCGTCCGTGGCTGTGGCCTCCCCCCGACTCCACAGACGGGTGCACTCCTCCCTCAGCGCCGCCTGCTCCTGGGCCGCCTGCTGCAGCTGCCGTCTCAGGCTCTCCAGCTCCAGCACCAGACGGTGCTCGGAATCCTCCTTCCCGGCCAGCACCTCCTTCAGATCTGCTGTCTCCACCTTGAATCCCTCAAGGGTACCTTTGTGGGAGACACAGATGCTCTGACAAAGCCAGTCCTGGGTGTAACTGAGGAGAGCCTGCTTGGAGGAAGGGACGGGGCCACTGCCCCTGAGAGCAGCAGAGCTAAGAGCCAGCAGCTTCCAGGACCCAGGTGTAGGCCTCCAACAGCCCTGCTGGCCGCAGCAGCTCCCGACCACCCCATTCCTCCCAAACCATGGGTGCCTCCCATGTTGGCTTTGTTTTTACATTTCACTTTAAAAACCCTATTCTGAAGGCTTCCTTCCCTCAGTGAGGCCAGGCCTGCTCCCCGTGCCTGTGCTCCAGGTGCCCCGAGGCCTCATGCTGCTCACCCTGAGTCTTGTGCAGCTCCAGCGCCAGCTCTGCCTTTGCTGCGCTCTCCTCCTTCAAACACTCCAGCAGCTCCTGGTGCTTCCTGACAACCTGTGCTGTCTCCTCATTCTTAAAACTAAATTCTTTTTCAAAACGAGAATGAATTTGGCGTGCTTCTTCCAGCTGTTAAAACACATTTGCAAATCAAAACTCCAGATCAAAAATAACTGAAGCCTACATTAAGACCAAGAGAACGCCACTTCTACCCCCAGACCCTTCAGGCCGTCACCACCCAGGCAGGGCCAGGCCAGGGTGACGGGACCTGAGCACATCTCAGCCACCCTCCGAGACACTGTGGCCACAGTCTCCAATGAGGACCCCTCCTCAGCCTCCCAGTTCAGCCCTGGGCCCCTCTCCCTTCCTCCAGACACTCCCCTGGCAACTGTGTCCAGTCTGGGGCTCCCAGGCCATCTACAGGCTGAGACCCAGAGTTACCTCTGAACTCAAAACTTAGCAAAAAAGAATTTTTATTTTCATTTTTGAGATAGGGTCTTGCTCTGCACCCAGGCTGGAGTGCAGTGGTGCAACCACAACTCACGGCAGCCTCAGCCTCCCAGGATCAAGCAATCCTCCTGCCTCAGCCTCCTGAGGAGCTGGGACCGCAGACGCATGCCACCACGCCTGGCTAACTTAAAATGAGGTCTCGCTATGTTGCCCAGGCTGGCTGCTGGAGTCCAGGGCCATCTCCATGAGGCCGTCCACGGCCAGGCTGAGGCTCTGGAAGACCCTCCGGATGGGTTGCTCACACTCCCGTACACTTTCTGGGCTCATGAGAAAGCTTTCACACATGTGGCTGCTAATTTCAGCCACGGAAGACATCTCTGCACATTCAGACAAAGTTCTGTCCAACTCCGGGAGGGCCACATCAGACCACATCTCCTCCAGCGCCAGAGCTACAAGATGAGCTCGTGGGCTGAAGTAGGCTGAAGTGAACCTCCTACCTTAGCCTCCCAAAGTGCTGGGACTGCAGGAGTGAGCCGCTGTGCCTGGCTGAAAAAAAGATCTTTGATTGCTTTCCGTGTATTCCTACTTAATGTCTTTTTTAATTGTCTAAAATGTTCTAAAACGGTTACAAAAAATTTCCTTTCTTAGTGATAATCTCTAAATATGAAAACACTCCACATGGAATTGCAACAGTGCATGAAGTAAAGAAAATGGGCCTGTTTATTATCCAAATTAAACAAACAGATTCTCTCATTCGTAGCAAGCCCACTTCCTCAAAGATCTGGTTCAGAAAAGCCTCCTCCTTGGGGAGAAACCCGTGCGAGCGTCGTTGGCACCGGCATCCACCAGGCTCGTGTGGCATCATCAGCTACTCAGTTGTTCACATCTCCACAGGACCCCGGGAGCCTGGGCCTCACCTGCCTGCTGGAGTCCAGGGCCATCTCCATGAGGCCGTCCACGGCCAGGCTGAGGCTCTGGAAGACCCTCCGGATGGGCTGCTCACACTCCCGCACACTTTCTGGGCTCATGAGAAAGCTTTCACGCATGTGGCTGCTAATTTCAGCCACGGAAGACATCTCTGCACATTCAGACAAAGTTCTGTCCAACTCCGGGAGGGCCACATCAGACCATGTCTCCTCCAGCGCCGGAGCTACAAGATGAGCAGATGCCGGCACACGCGGCTCAGTGAGCAAGCCGGCCGCGGCCATGGCAGCCAAGACGACAAGGAAGCCACAGAACTCAGAACGTCGCCCCAGCCGAGATGAGTCAGCGCCACGTCCACGGGAGCTGACAAATTTAGCCCAAACCCCGGTCTCGGCCTTCTGTAAGTGCGGAAACTAGCAGGAAACCAGGACGGCAGTGCTCCCAAGGGCATCGCCCAATACGGAGGCTCCTCTCAGAGAGCTCCAGGACCACAGAGGGGCTGCAAGCACAGGGCTGGGCAGCTGGTCCCGGCACACTCACCTGTCGACAGGGCCAGGCCTGCGCCCGCGTCATCCAGGCAGAGCCCCACGCGCTCCCCGATCCGGCTCCTCAGGGTGACGGCTGCCCTCAGCGTCTCTCCAAACAAACCCAGCAGCCTGCGCAGGGCGTCCTGGAGGGCCCCTCTGAGACAGGAGACACCCATCATCAGGCAAGCTGGTCACGGCATAAGAACCCCCACCCTGGATGCTGCTGAGGGGCCGCCCACCAGTTTGCACACCTCGGCCCACGGCTGCCTGTCCCCACGGGGCCGGAAGACATGATCCTCATGCCCATGTGAGCACAGGAAGCTGAGGCCACAGACAAGACAACCACGTGGAGCCCACTCAGGGACACGGGCTTTCCTAGGTGAGGTCTTCCTGATGCCATTTCTGATGTGTAAAAGGCATCACATTAGGAACACGGCAAACCCGTCCCGCAGGTGTGCGATGTGGCCGCACAGCGTCAATCACCCGGGAGCAGCACACAGGCTCCGCCCCTCCCCTGGAGCACAGGGTGCACCAGCCAGCCATTTCACAAGATGTCTGTCCAACACCAAGTCACGCCTCAGCCACACATTCACAGGAGTTGTGTGGCAGGAAGAGGATGGTGTCTCCCAGCCTCTCGCTAGGCCTCGTGGACGTGCGGTCTGGGATGCTTCTGTCTTTTTTTTTTTTTGAGATGGAGTCTCGCTCTGTCGCCCAGGCTGGAGTGCAGTGGCACGATCTTGGCTCACTGCAAGCTCCACCTCCCGGGTTCACGCCTTTCTCCTGCCTCAGCCTCCCGAGTAGCTGGGACTACAGGCGTCTGTCACCACGCCCGGCTAATTTTTTGTATTTTTAGTAGAGATGGGGTTTCACCATGTTAGCCAGGATGGTCTCGATCTCCTGACCTCATGATCCACCCGCCTCAGCCTCCCAAAGTGCTGGGATTACAAGCGTGAGCCACTGCGCCCGGCTGGGATGCTTCTGTTTTTACACACAGGGGCTCCCGAGGCCACAGGCCCCTCCACATCTCGCTCCCTGCACTATGATTTAGGAGCTGTGACGCCGCTGAGGACAGGCACGTTGACCCAGTGACTACACAGCCAGCCCTCCCTCTACTCTGCTCACAGCTCTGTCCCCAGAGAGCCCAACCCTGAGGAGCAGACGATGAGGACTCATTCGTGGGGACCGTGAGGTGACAACGGGAGGCAGTGTCGTGCAGGCCCCGCGAAACCGAAGATTCTGGGCAAATAACAGGGAGGGGGAGTCCTGAGGAGGGGCTTGACGGAGAGAATGCCACCTGCTCCCCAGCACACTTCCACCCCCCAAAATGCCCAACTCCTGCAGGCATCAGGGCGTCTGCAGCCACCCCACCTCAAGACAGGCAGCCTCTCCAGTGTCCAGGGACCGTGGGCTCACCTCTGCACCCCTTGTGTTTAGAGCCTGGGACTACCCCGCCCACCACCCACCTCTGCACCCCTCGAGTTAAGAGCACAGACCGCCCCACTGGCCGCTGTGCCCCTCGGTTTAGAGCTCTCGCTCGCCCACTGACCTGGGTGACTGGAGAGAGTCAGCACCAAGCTACGAGACACCCACAGCCAAGTGCTACAGAAGGCAAGGTCCTCACAGAAAAATCACAAAACTTGATGAAAAGAACAAAGAGAGACCTGCACAGACACCCCCCACACACGGATGGACCCTCAGCATGACAGACACCAATGCTCCAGAAACAGCTGTGAGCTCAGAGGGTCCCATAAGCCCGACCTGGTCTCCGGACCCTGGGTGGTCTCCAGAGCAGAGCCAAACCAGTTCAGAGCTTCAGGACACAGCAGCACAACCCAGAGGCCTCGAGTGGGGACACAAAGACGGGAGCAGCAGCAGGACTCAGAGGCCTGGGGCGGGGACAGACAGACGGGAGCAGTGGCTGGACCCAGAAGCCTCAGCGGGGACACACAGATGGGAGCAGCAGCAGGACACAGAGGCCTCGGGCGGGGACACGCCAATGGGAGCAGCCAAAGACCCACACAAGGGGACGGGGAGGACGCGCACCAAGGGGAGGCTGCGTTTGGCAACACAGTGCCGAGTCCACTGCCCAGACAGGTGCAAGCAAGAACAACTCTGCAGGCTCACCCCAGAGTCACACAAAAGCAAAACTTAAAACCCTGTGAGGTGACCTGGGAAAAACCTCCATGGTGTCAGAGGAGCAAAAAGTTTCTCAAGACCCCACACGCGACAAAAGGGCAGACAAGCCTGCTGGACAGCATCACTGCAGGTGAGGAGGCACCAAGGCAGGATGTGGCCTGGACCCATGCGTTCAGGGAAGGCGGCCCCACGGCCCGTGGTAAGCAGACCCACACCCCGCCCTGGGAGAGCCCTCGGGGCTGGGCGCTCAGCCCAGTGCCTGCAGCTACCCAGGCACAGGCTCCCAATGGAGAAAGGAACGGACAGGGCTACGGCCCCTGCTTGGGCCGGTCTCAGAAACACACGTCACAGAGAGAGATGCATGAGGCACGACACTTGCACACAGTCCAAAGCACAGGAACCACGAGACATGTGGGCCTGCACCCCGTGCCGGGGACGAGGACACGCTGCGGGGACGCAGACACTAAAGGGGAGGGGTCGGGCTCTGTGTGGGAGATAACGGCTGGTTTTAATCTGGCCAGATGGGGAAATGAGACACAGCAGGCAGGGTGGGAGGAGGGCACGGGGGCTGGGAGATGAGACACAGCAGGCGATTTCTTCCCGGTGCTTACAATCTTTCTAACTGAGAGAAGAAGGAAGCCGGGTCCCCGTCCACCAGGAGCCAGCGTGCATGGTGGCAGCAGCCACGGGGCCAGGAGCCGTGGGGACCAATGGCATCTGCATGACCCAGCGGGTGCTGGCGGCCACAAGGCAGCCTCGGTGCCGAGGACACACTGACCTTTCGCTGTGGGACAGGTTGACGTCGGCCTTGAGCATGGAGAGGAGGTTTGCGCCTTCCCGGTTCTCCCGCTCCCGCCTCTGCTGCAGCACCTCCAACTCGGAGCGGCACTCTTCTATCTCGTGACTTAAGGATAAAACCTGGTCTTTCAGCTATCGAGAAAAATGGTTAAAGCTTTCGTTAAAACAATTTGGTTAAAAGCAAATGGCTGTAAGGGACTTTCAACACAATTTCAGTATTTGAGAGTCTCTGACTTAGGACTTTTCAGCTTGGTGATGGGGCAAAAGGAGCAGGCACTTCGGCACGTTCCTCGACTCACAACGCCTTCCACTGACAGTGGTCAAAGGCGTGACCTCAGCAAAGGCCAAGGAGCACCTGCACATTTAATAAAAATACGGCAAAGGTGAACGAGGTGCTGATTAAAGGTGAAAATTATTGATACGGTTTTTCCTCCATTATTCATCATTTACAAAAGAATACACAAACATCCCCAGGTGGAACCTGAGGCTAGGGGAGGGAAGGGGCCAGTTCATCAGAGATCCACCACTCAAACAGCAATTCGAAATAAGTCACTGTATCTGGTCATTCACAAAAGTCAGTTGCCAGGCAGGCAAAGATCTTTCTTTCTGAGACAGGGTCTCACTCTGTTGCCCAGGCTGGAGTGCAGTGGCACAATCACAGCTCACTGTAGCCTCAAACTCCAGGGCACAAACAATCCTCCCACCTCAGCTTTCTGAGAAGCTGGGACTACAGGTGCGTGCCACCACACACGGCTAATTTTTTTAATTTTTTATAGAGACAGGGTCTCCCTATGTTGCCCAGGCTGGTATCGAATTCCTGGGCTGGAGTGGTCCTCCTGCCTCAGCCTCCCGAAGTGCTGGGATTAAAGGTGTGAGCCATGGTGCCAGGGGAGGGCAAATGGGGAGTGAGAGTCTAATGGGGACAGAGTTCAGTTTTGCAAGATGAAGACTTCTGGAGATGGATGGTGGTGATGGCTGCACAATACTGTGAATGTGATTCCATCACCGAATGTACAACACCGTGAATGTGCCTGCACCACTGAACTACGCACAACACCATGAATGCACTTGCACCACTGAACTATGCACAACACTGTGAATGCACTTCTGCCACTGAACGCACAACACCGTGAATGCGCTTCCGCCGCTCAACGCACAACACCATGAATGCACTTCCGCCACTGAACTACGCACAACACCGTGAATGCGCTTCCGCCGCTCAACGCACAACACCATGAATGTGTTTCCGCCGCTCAACGCACAACACCGTGAATGCGCTTCTGCCACTGAACTATGCACAATACCGTGAATGCACTTCCGCCCCTGAATGCACACCACGAATGCACTTCTGCCACTGAATGTACAGCACTGTGAATGGGCTTCCACCACTGAATGCACAACACCGTGAATGGGCTTCCGCCACTGAACGCACAACACCGTGAATGCTCTTCCGTCACTGAATGTACAACACCGTGAATGCGCTTCTGCCACTGAATGCACAACACCGTGAATGCGCTTCCATCACTGAATATACAACATGGTGAATGCGCTTCCGCTGCTGAATGCACAACACCGTGAATGCGCTTCCGTCACTGAATATACAACACTGTGAATGCGCTTCCGCCACTGAATGCACAACACCGTGAATGGGCTTCCGCCACTGAATGCACAGCACTGTGAATGCGCTTCCGCCACTGAATATACAACACTGTGAATGCGCTTCCGCCACTGAACGCACAACACCGTGAATGCGCTTCTGCCACTGAACGCACAACACCGTGAATGCGCTTCCGCTGCTGAATGCACAGCACTGTGAATGTGCTTCCATCACTGAATATACAACACTGTGAATGCGCTTCCGCCACTGAATATACAACACTGTGAATGCGCTTCCGCTGCTGAATGCACAGCACTGTGAATGTGCTTCCATCACTGAATATACAACACTGTGAATGCGCTTCCGCCACTGAATATACAACATGGTGAATGCGCTTCCGCCACTGAATATACAACACTGTGAATGCGCTTCTGCCACTGAACGCACAACACTGTGAATGCGCTTCTGCCACTGAATGCACAACACCGTGAATGCGCTTCCGTCACTGAATATACAACATGGTGAATGCGCTTCCGCCACTGAACGCACAACACCGTGAATGCGCTTCTGCCACTGAACGCACAACACCGTGAATGCGCTTCCGCTGCTGAATGCACAGCACTGTGAATGCGCTTCCATCACTGAATATACAACACTGTGAATGCGCTTCCGCCACTGAATACACAACACTGTGAATGCGCTTCCGCCACTGAATGCACAACACCGTGAATGCGCTTCTGCCACTGAACGCACACCATGAATGCGCTTCCGCTGCTGAATGCACAGCACTGTGAATGCACTTCCATCACTGAATATACAACACTGTGAATGCGCTTCCGCCACTGAATATACAACATGGTGAATGCGCTTCCGCCACTGAATATACAACACTGTGAATGCGCTTCTGCCACTGAACGCACAACACCGTGAATGCGCTTCTGCCACTGAATGCACAACACCGTGAATGCGCTTCCGTCACTGAATATACAACATGGTGAATGCGCTTCCGCCACTGAATGCACACCGTGAATGTGCTTCTGCCACTGAACGCACAACACCGTGAATGCGCTTCCGCTGCTGAATGCACAGCACTGTGAATGCGCTTCCATCACTGAATATACAACACTGTGAATGCGCTTCCGCCACTGAATATACAACATGGTGAATGTGCTTCCGCCACTGAATATACAACACTGTGAATGCGCTTCCGCCACTGAATGCACAACACCGTGAATGGGCTTCCACCACTGAATGCACAGCACTGTGAATGCGCTTCCGCCACTGAATATACAACACTGTGAATGCGCTTCCGCTGCTGAATGCGCAGCACTGTGAATGGGCTTCCGCCACTGAATGCACAACACCGTGAATGGGCTTCCGCCACTGAATGCACAGCACTGTGAATGCGCTTCCGTCACTGAATATACAACACTGTGAATGCACTTCCGCCACTGAATGCACAACACCGTGAATGCGCTTCCGCCACTGAATGCACAACACCATGAATGGGCTTCCGCCACTGAACGCACAACACCGTGAATGCGCTTCCGCCACTGAATGCACACCGTGAATGCGCTTCTGTCACTGAATATACAACACGGTGAATGCGCTTCCGCCACTGAATGCACAGCACTGTGAATGCGCTTCCGCCACTGAATATACAACACTGTGAATGCGCTTCCGCCACTGAACGCACACCGTGAATGCGCTTCCGCCACTGAACGCACAACACCGTGAATGCGCTTCCGCCACTGAATGCACAACACCGTGAATGCGCTTCCGCCACTGAATATACAACACCGTGAATGTGCTTCCGCCACTGAACTATGCACAACACTGTGAATGAGCTTCTGCCACTGAATGCACAACACCGTGAATGCGCTTCCGTCACTGAATATACAACATGGTGAATGCGCTTCCGCCACTGAATATACAACACCGTGAATGCGCTTCTGCTGCTGAATGCACAGCACTGTGAATGCGCTTCCGTCACTGAATATACAACACTGTGATTGCGCTTCCGCCACTGAATATACAACACTGTGAATGCGCTTCCACCACTGAATGCACAACACCATGAATGCGCTTCCACCACTGAATGCACAACACCGTGAATGGGCTTCCGCCACTGAATGCAGAACACTATGAATGCGCTTCCGCCACTGAATCTACACTATGAATGCGCTTCCGCCACTGAATCTACACTATGAATGCGCTTCCGCCACTGAATGCACAACACCGTGAATGTGCTTCTGCCACTGAATGCAGAACACTATGAATGCGCTTCCGCCACTGAATATACAACATGGTGAATGCGCTTCCGCCATTGAATGCACAACACCGTGAATGCGCTTCCGCCACTGAATCTACAACACTGTGAATGCGCTTCCGCCACTGAATGTACAACACTATAAATGCACAACACCATGAGTGCACTCCTGCCACTGAACTGTGCACTGAAATAAAGTGAAAATGATTTTTATGCTATACACGTCTTATCACAAGGGAACAGCGTATTCCACACACCTGCTGGACTTGGTGATTCTTCTTTTGAAGCTGCAGAGACAAAGACTCTTTCTCCTCTTGGTGAAAAGGCTGTGCCTGTGCACTCTGAAGCCGAAGTGTCTCCTCTTTTTCATGCAAAGCAGTTTTCTTTTCACTTCCAAATTCACCCTGTACACATCAATAACAATAAAAAATACCAGTAAGCTAGAAAAATACTTTCTTTGCTGTTAGCCGGAATTCAGCACATTCAGCAGATATGCATGGAGCCCCCACTCTGCACCAAGAGCCGGGATGAGCCAGACCACAGCCCCCATCAAAGAAAACATGGGTTCAAGGACTTCACTGGGAACACAAAGTCCTGGTTTCGGGGATAAAACACTTAAGGAGACACAAGTTCGCACTGGTGACAGCTGCGTGTCATAAGCAACTGCTCACTACCATTCCCAAATGGCTCCTGTAACATCTTTAAGAGTCACACTAAGAAGTTCACCATCAAGGAATTACAGCCATGAAAACCCAAGATATTTGGAAACCTAGGTTCCTTCCCTTTTAAAAGATTAAACCTTCTTTCTAAATAACAAAACCTTTTAAATAAGGTTCAATAGATGAATTCTATACACACACACACACACACACACACACACACACACACACACACACACACAGAGATTTTTTTTTTTTTTTTTTGGAAGGACTCTTCTCTGTCACCCAGGCTGGAATGCAGTGGTGTGATCTCAGCTCACTACAACCTCTGTCTCCCAGGTTCACGGGATTCTCTTGCCTCAGTCTCCCGAGTAGCTGGGATTATAGGCGCCTGCCACCACACTCAACTAATTTTTGTAATTTTTCTTTTAGTAGAGATAGGGTTTCTACCAAAACCTGTTGGCCAGGCTAGTCTGAAACTCCTGACCTCAAGTGATCCACCCACACTGGCCTCCAAAAGTGCTGGGATTACAGGTGTGAGCCACTGCACCCGGCCAATTAAATTAATGAAATAAGCTTATTTTTTTAAACTTCCAGAGGTAGCACTTCTAGAATGGCAAAGTAAGGACCTCCAAAATCTGTTCCTCTATAAAAGAAAAAGTGGTAAAAACCATCAAAACCAGTGTTTTCAGAGCTGTGGAAATCTGGTCAGGTTTGCAATCATCCGAAGAGTGTTTATGGAAAACACAGGCTGAGTGTCCATAAGAACAAACTTCAGGTGCTTAACTTTGCCCTGACTCCATATCTCCTCTCCAATCTAACAGCCCTGAAAACCAGTAGCTGCTGGGGTGGGGTGGGGGACAGAATGGATTTGGAGCACCCCAAAATTTCCATGCACAACTGCCCGAGCCCACCTGCCGGGCACCTTGCTGCCGTGACTGGGTCAGAGCTCTCGGTGTCAAAAATTCTACCCAGGGTTGGCCGGGCGCGGTGGCTCACGCCTGTAATCCCAGCACTTTGGGAAGTCAAGGCGGGCAGATCACAAGGTCAGGAGATCGAGACCATCCTGGCTAACATGGTGAAACCCCATCTCTACTAAAAATACAAAAATTAGCTGGGTGTGGTGGTGGGCACCTGTAGTCCCACCTACTCGGGAGTCTGAGGCAGGAGAATGGTGTGAACCTGGGAGGCAGAGCTTGCAGTGAGCCTAGATTGCGCCACTGCACTCTAGCCTGGGCGACAGAGACTCTGTCTCAAAAAAAAAAAAAAAAAAAAAAAAAAAAAAAAAAAAAATCTACCCCAGGGCACCGGTTGGAAACAGTCAGTGTCAAGTGTTTAATAGCCGCACTGCCCACAGTAGAGAAACCAGTTGGGACTAATAAGGGACTGCCAGAAAAACAAAAGAAAACACTTGAGAATGCGATGTCCACAGGGGCCTCTGGAAAGCTCTGACATCTTCTGGGACTCTACAAGGTGTGAACACGTGCAGGGCTGTGCCCACGCTGGAAAGGCCCAAGAGGTCCTGGGCCGGCTGCAGTGACCATGTGGCTTGGCACAGCAGGGGTGAAGGCCAGGGCCAGGCTGTCCACCGCCCGCCAGAGCCCTGAGGGCACAATGCACGCAGGGCCCTCAGCAGAGAGAAAGACTGAAATAGAGCTCCCTTGACATCTGGAGCTGAAAAATACAATCACAGAAAAAAAAATTCACTAGAGAGGGGTTCGGCAGCAGACTCGAGCAGGCAGAAGACAGAATTCACACGCTGGAAGATAGGTCAATTAAGACGATCCAGTCAGGGAACAGAAAGAAACATGAAGAAAACTCAGCAGTCTCCAAGGCCTGTGGGGCACCCTCAAGCCAGACAGAGGGAGAGAAAAGGGCAGAGGAACCCTTGAAGACACGACGGCCAAAAACCTCCCAAATTTGATGAAAATAACAATAATAATAAAAATAATAATCCCCACATACAAGCTCAATGAACTCCAAGTAGGACAAACTGACAGAGACCCACACTTCACCCATCACAGCCAAACCTCAGCAGGGTTCAGGACAAAGCTTGAGGCCAGCCAGTGCACAGCAGGTATATGGGTGCCGCTCAAGACACGTAGCCCCAGGAAGATGGGTGCGGCTCACGACACGCGGCCCGGGAAGACGGGCGCGGCTCACGACACGCAGCCCAGGAAGACGGGCGCAGCTCACGACACGCAGCCCCGGATGACAGGGGAGGCAGCGGAGAGCCCACGCAGCACTGAAGGAAAAGCCTGGATCTTGAAGTCCACATCCAGGAAATGATCTCTCAAGGATGAAGGAGAAATTAAGACATTCCCACAAAAACAAAAGCTAAGAGGATTCATCACTAGCAGACCTGTCCTTCAAGAAATCCCAGAGGAAGTCCTTCGGGCTGAAACATAAGGCACCAGACCTGAATTTCCAGGAAGAAACGAGCAGCAGTAGTGCAGGTAACGACACAGAGAAAACAGGAGACAAAACAACATGGCTTTTGTTTACAATTCTTCTTCCTCCTGGTTTAAAAGACACGTGCATAAAGTAACGAGCACAAAAAGATAGAAAGATGTGGTTGGTACGACAATATGAGCACAAAGGGCAGACGAGGGAATGATGCTACATTAGCAAATGGTTTTGTAAACTTTTAAAATTAAGTTGGTATTAATCCAAACCAGATTGTTAGAAGGTGCTTGCTGTAACGCTCAGGGCAAGCGCTAAGAAAATAACTCAATATATATCAGTCCCCTTTGTCTGCGGTTTCAGTTACTTGTGTTCAACGTCATTTTGAAAATATCGTATGAAAAATTCCAGAAGTAAACAACTCTTATGAGTGTTAAACTGCCTGCCCCCAAGCTGAACGGTGTGAGGAAATCTCGCAGGCCAGGCCGGGGGTCATCCTTCTGTCCGGCGTTATCCACGTGGCAAGCACTACCTGCCCACACGCAGGCATCTCGGTGATCAGACCAACTGTCACAGCATCACAGTGCCTGTGTTCAAGTCACCTTTACTTCATTTAATAACGGCCCCAAAGCGCAAGAGAGGCCGTTCAATTGCAATGCTGCAATTCAGACGTGCCAGAGACACCATAGAGTGATGCCTTTCAGTTAAAAGTTGATGACGGAGCAATTCAGATATGCCAGAGACACCACAGGGTGATTCCTTTAAGGTAAAAGTTGATGACAGGTATGTATAGACAAAAACAGCATATAAGGGGTTCAGAACCATTCACGATTTCAGGCACCCACTGGGGGTCTTGGAATGCATCCCCTGTGGGTAAGGGGCGACCACCGTATGGTAAAGGAAACATCAAGGAAATTAAAGTGAAAAAAGGCAGTAATGGAGGAATACAGAACAAAAAGGGCATAAGATATGCAGAAAACACATACCAAGCAAGTATTGACACATGCTACAACGTGCGC
Source organism: Homo sapiens (assembly GCF_000001405.40). Taxonomy (NCBI): domain Eukaryota; kingdom Metazoa; phylum Chordata; class Mammalia; order Primates; family Hominidae; genus Homo; species Homo sapiens. The sequence continues at coordinate 46,378,016 of NC_000021.9, read as the reverse complement.
CAACCTGGGAAACACACAAAGTGAAAGCCGCGGACACCGAGGGCACACGCTGAGTCTATGTACGTAGGACGCCCACAGGTACGGCAAGCAGACGGCACATCACCAGGCATGGGGGAGAAGGGAGAATGGGGAGTTTCTTGTTTTCTTCCTTAATTTTCATTGATTATCTTTTGAGACAACGTTTTGCTGTCATGCAGCCTGGAGTGCAGTGGTGCGATGTCAGCTTGCTACAGCTTCAACCTTCTGGGCTCCAGTGGTCCTCCCACCTCAGCCTCTGAGTAGCTGGAACTATATGGGCACGCCAACATGCCAGGCTAATTTTTTTATTTTTAGTATTTTTTTATTTTTGGTCTTGAACTCCTGGGCTCCAGCAATCCTCCTGCCTCAGCCTCCCAAGGTGCTGGGACTATAGGCACGAGCCACTGGGGGTTTCTTTTTGAGGTGATGAAATATTTTAGAATAAACTTTTCTCAGCTCTAAGATAAGTGATGACAGATTCTTGGTAGAAAAGGTGTGTTACACAGCAGATTTAAATATAAAAAGGCCTGACAAAAGTTGCCTAGAAAAAGCTCAGTTTTAAGACAATGAAATTATTTTGTGTTTTGACTTGGCATGTGAAAAGGTAACTGATAAAGTAAGTTTTTTGTATCTACTTAGCAGGCAGGAAAGGACAGCACGAAGCCCATGTCCTCAGCAGTGGGACCTGCTGCTCCGGGACCTGCTGCTCCAGAACATCTGGGGTGGATTGCCGGCTCCCGCTCCCTGCCCAGCACGGCCAGGAGGGCTGAGGGCTGGGGCTCCACCAGCTTCAGGAGGAGGAAGACGTCAACAATGAGTGAGTGCCTTTTCTGAAGTAACTGGGGCAACAGTTTCAATAAACACATGGAAGCCCTGACACCAGAAATGACCTTTATTCTCTACCTTTTTTTGTGTGATAAGCCATGGGGAGGAAAAGGATAAAGGATCGGGTGCCCCCCGCGCCGGCCTGGAACTTGCTGAGGTGCCAGGTGGGCTGTGCATCTGCATCTTAGTCACAGGGACCAGAAACGGGTTCGCACGGCACAACACTGAAGTCACTCGCAAGGTCTCAAGGCCATTTGGAATGTGAGTACAGTTCACTTTAATCAACTTTCTCTCCTGGATTTGATTTAGTTCCATCTGTTTGAAAGGAAGGACTTAAGATTAACTTCTGAGCTGTGCACACTACAAAGTTTCCAAAGAACTTTAATTACCTTGCTGATACCCCAACCATCAGCAGTGCGTCTCCTGGGGGACAGACGCATTGATCCGGACCAACAGCCAGGGAGGGGGCAGCGGGCCAGGAGTAAGAGGTCCAAACAGGGATGCTGGTTCAGTGTACACCAACCACAAAACGCTGGTGAATTCAAGAACAAAACCCCAAATGCCAATGCACCCGGCAGGACAGAGGCCAAGGGACTGGGAAAACAGGAAAATTAATCCTCAAGACCAGGCGCCACCATGGTGCCCACAACAGCTCATGCTCAGACACAGTGGACGGGCTCCTCAGGCCCAGCCAGGCACAGATCAGGCGCTTCCCTCCTGGCATCCACAGCGTCAGCCTGTGGGGCCCGAGGGCAAACCTCTGCGCTCCCGGTGCCCAGCAAAGGATGTGGCAAGAGTCCAAGGCTGAAATCAGTGGTCCTTTGAACATCTTTCTGAGCCACAGACTACTTACTCTCTTTGGACAAAAATCTCTCATAGAGGCCTACCGTGTAACAATGAGAAAATCAAACTTCTGTTTGAGGCCAACACGGGAGCCCAAGAACATTGGACACCCCCAGAGCCTGCGGAGCCTGGCCTAAGCTCCAGGCGTCCCAAACTACGCCCCACTCAGGAGCACAGCTGGTGCCACGCTCTAGCCCCGCGGCCTCCGGGATCCCAGAGTCACACACTGCAGACGGAGAGGGTAGAGGGCAGGCTCCACAGAGAACCCCAGCCAGGGAGTGCCAACACTGCACGCAGCCCACCAGGACGCCCGGGCATGGCAGACAGAGGTGGCGCTCCCTCCACCCACTGGCAGCTGGAAGCTCCATGTGTGCAGTCTTGACCTTCGCTTTGTTTCAAGGCACAGCACCACCCGCAGGTACCGCCTCGCACCCAGGGGAGCCACCCTAACTGTCCACGCTTGGCCCTGTCCTGCCTGCACACTCTCAGGCCTTCGGCAGACCTGCAGAGGACGTAGGAGGTGGTGGAGGCCAAATGAGGCGGCTCCCCGCGGGGGGACAGCCCCCAGGAGACGTCGGGCAGGGCTGGGCAGGTCACAGGCATGCAGGCCCAGCAGTGAGACGGCCAGTGCCCCACATGTGATCCCTCAGGCCCAGGGCCTCGGCTCGGCCACAATGTCGAGCAGAAGCGTGCGTCCTCAGCCACCCCCTCAATCTGACCGGGCCGGCTCAAAGGAGATTTTCTTCCTGCAACCCCCTGGCAGAGGCTCTAGCCTGGAATAAAACTCTTTAAATTGACCATGTTCTTCTAAGCTGTGAGGTCAGTATCAAAAAAGACGTTTCAAAAAAAGTTATTTTCAGGTTTTTCTAAAATCCACACAATTATAGAAAAATATCACATATGTTTTAATCATAAGTAAGTGGCATGCACAGAGAATACCAATGTCAGAAGGCAAAGACATTCAATTGAGAACGCATTTAGGACATTCAAATGCTATCTAAACCAACGTTAATATTATCTTAATATTAAAATAATTAACCTATGAATAGATTTGGGTTTTCAATCCGAGAAAAGATGACACCGCCTTGAGCATCCCACACCGGCCGCATGCGATTCACTTCTGCACTCAGCTCTGCGTCGTGTTACCAGCACAGGCGGGGCAGGGCAGGGCAGGGGAATCTTATGGGATACATACTTCTATCAAAAAGAAATCAAGCTTACGTTTTCAGAGGACTTTCCTCACAACCAAACTCTCAAGGGCGGTATCCCGGAAAGTAATCCAATCACCCCACAAGTGTAGGTCAAGTCACACTGCTGACAAGTGACTGCTGTTCCAACAGGTGCAAAGATATTTGAGGCTCAGATAAAGCATCGCCGCGGGGAAGAACAGGACATCCCAGCTATTCTGGGACAATGACCCAAAACACTCCCGTCAGGGCTTGGCAGGGCTCTGTGTAACTTTTTTTTTTTTTTTTTTTTTTGAGACGAAGTTTTGCTCTTGTTGCCCAGGCTGGAGTGCAACGGCACGATCTTGGCTCACCACAACCTCCACCTCCCAGGTTCAAGCGATTCTCTTGCCTCAGCCTCCCGAGTAGCTGGGATTACAGGTATGTGCCACCATGGCTGGCTAGTTTTGTATTTTTAGTAAAGACAGGGTTTCTCTGTGTTGGTCAGGCTGGTCTCGAACTCCCAACCTCAGGTGATGCACCCGCCTCGGCCTCCCAAAGTGCTGGGATTACAGGCGTGAGCCACTGCAGCCAGCTTGTGTTATGTCTTTTCACGGTGTAAAGCCTGAGGAAAGACCAGGAGACCAGGAGAGGAGTGGCCACCATACAAGAAGCATTCTCACCAATCACAGGCCTGTGGATCTACCAACACGCTTGCAGGAACGAGGGAACAGTGACCAGCATCACAGGAACAAATAGATCCTGATGTGAGCCAGCCAGAAGAGACTGGCACGTGGGCTGGGCTTGTGATGAAATGCAGGGATCGCTGTGGATGTTTTAGGTGAGAATGGATCATGGTTATGCTGTATTGGGGGAAAACACCTCACTCGCAGACACATGGTGTCTTGGATTTGCTTCTAAACAATCAGGAGGAGAGGGGGACTGATGTATTGAACGTGCACCCCACTAACCAGCGGGACCGGGGGCTTGCTGAGTTATTCTATTCCTGCAAATGCTGCCCTCTGCCCCAAAAAACATAATATAAAATAAAGAGTACATCCCACCTCCCCACAGCCCAATTGTTTTCTTCTGTGAAATCAGCTACACCAAAACAATCACATAAAAGAGTATCTGAGCGGCCGGGCGCAGTGGCTCACGCCTGTAATCCCAGCACTTTGGGAGGCCAAGACGGACAGATCACAAGGTCAGGAGTTCGAGACCAGCCTGGCCAACATGGTGAAACGCTGTTTCTACTGAAAATATAAAAATTAGCCAGGCGTGGTGGTATGTGCCTGTAATCCCAGCTACTCAGGAGGCTGAGGCAGGAAAATCGCTTGAACCCGGGGGGCGGAGGTTGCAGTGAGCCAAGATCATGCCACTGCACTCCAGCCTGGCGACAGAGCGAGACTCCGCCCAAAAAAAAAAAAAAAAAAAAGCTAAGGCTGGGCGCGGTGGCTCACATCTGTAATCCCAGCACTTAGGGAGGGTGAGGCGGACGGATCACGAGGTCAAGAGATCAGACCACCCTGGGCAACATGGTGAAACCCCATCTCTACTAAAAATACAAATATTAGGCATGGTGGCGCATGCCTGTAGTCCCAGCTACTTGGGAGGCTGAGGCAGGAGAATCCCTTGAACCAGGGAGGCAGAGGTTGCAGTGAGCCAAGATCACGCCACTGCACTCCAGCCTGGAGACAGAGCGAGACTCTGTCTCAAAAAAAAAAAAAAAAAAAGAGTATTGACATGCACATCCCTAGCAGCAAAGTAAAAAGCTAACTTACTCGCGCAAACCTGTACCTCAACTACAAAAATACTGCAAAGACGCTCTAGGAGTATTCCGATAATAGTCCAGGCCAGGCGCGGCTCACGCCTATGGTCCCAGCACTTTGGGAGGCTGAGACAAAAGGATTGCTTGAGGCCAGGAATTTAAGACCAGCCTGGGCAACACAGTGAGACCCCATCTCTACAAAAAATAAATTAGCCAGGCATGGTGGTGCACATCTGTAGTCCCAGCTACTCAAGAGGCTGAGGCAGGAGGACCACTTGAGGCCAGGCGTTCAAGGTCACAGTGAGCTGTGGTTGCATCACTACCTTCGGCCTGGGCGACAGAGCAAGATCCTCCCTCCAAAACAACAACAACAACAGTCACCCTAGAAGAACAAAAGTACAGGTTAAAGGACACAGGTGACACACGATTTCAGAAAACGAACACCTCCTTGTGCTATGCACAGATAAAACGGACAGAATTTCTTTAGCATGAGTCCCTGGAAAAGCGAGACAGAATCTGACTTTTCCAGAGAAGACAGACCCACACGATACCCAGCAGGGTGCAGGTCTCAGGGCTGTGCCTCAGGACTGAGGGGCCAGTGTCCACACTGGGCAGCACCCAGAGCTGTCCACGTGAAGAAACAAGTCATTTCTAACCTCAGAATCCGGCGCTGCATCACCCATTCTCAGGAGCAGTCCCTCTTCACCAAGCAAACCTTTCAGGTTCAAAACCTTACTTTATGGCTAGAAATGAGATCTTAGCATGTCCTTGTTTAAAACCCCCTTGAAACCATATGTACCATAATCACCTAAAATTTGCACATAATGCTTCAAATAAATTATCAATTATTTCTGAAGTGCTCCAGACTCTAACCCTCCCCCCACAGAAAGGCCAGAAAATCGTACAGACCCAGAACACAGAAGCAGGAGGGCCCCAGGCATTCATCCTGCAGGACAACATGCAGAATGACATGTGTGCATGTGCTGTGTATGTGTGCATGTGCTGCGTGTATGAGCATGTGCTGTATGAACATGTGCTGTGTAAGCACGTGTGCATGTGTGTGCACGTGTTGTGTGTGCGTGCTGTGTGCACATCTGCTATGTGTATGTGCTGTGTGCATGCATGTGCTACACGTGCACATGTGCTGTGTATGTGCATGTGCTGTGTGTGCACATGTGCTGTGTGCATGTGCTCTCTGTGTGTGTGCTGTGTGTGCATGTGCTGTGTGTGTGCGTGTGCCTTGTATGGGCACATGTGCTGTGAGTGTGCTGCATGTGTGCATGTGCTGTGTATGCACATGTGCTATGTGTGCGCATGTGCTGTGTGCATGTGCCTTGTATGGGCACATATGCTGTGAGTGCTGCATGTATGTGCTGTGTGTGTGCATGTGCTGTGTGTGTGTGCATGTGCTGCATGTGTGTATGTGCTATGTATGTGCTGTTTGTGCGCACATGCTGTGTGAGCATGCGCATGTGCTGTGTGCGCACATGTGCTGTGTATGTGCTGTGTGTGCATGTGCTGTGTGTGTGCACACATGCTGTGTGCACATGTGCTGTATGTGCTGTGTCTGCATGTGTGTGTGCATGTGCTGTGTGTGCACATGTGCTGTGTGTGCGTGTGCTCATCATGCAGACCAGCAGGCGGGGTGGTGGCGCCTGGATGGGGCAGGTGCACGGGTCCACAAGTGGGGAGACCTTGCTGCTTAAATGCAGTCCTGCATAGGTGCAGAGAATCAAGACCACAGCAGGTGGCAGGGGACCTCAGCCAGGCCCCTTCACGGCCACCTTGGGAATCCAAGGGGGATTCCGACTACTCAGTCTGGCTTCTTCTGACACAATTTGGTACCAGTGCTTACGCATATTCTGACACACAAGATTTTAAAAAACTGAAAAAGTAAGTAACTACACTGGCCAGGTGCAGAGGCTCACACCTGTAATCCCAGTGCTTTGGGGAGGCCAAGGCGGGAGGATCACTTGAGCCCATGAGTTCAAGACCAGCCTGGGAGACAAAACAATAAAAATTAGCGAGGCGTGGTGGCCCGTGCCTGTATCCCAGCTACTTGGGAGGCTGAGGTGGGAGGACTGCTTGAGCCTGGGAGGCAGAGGTTGCAGTGAGCCAGGATCGTGACACTGCACTCTAGACTTTTTTTGAGACTCCGTCTTTAAAAAAAAAAAAAAAAAAAGAAAGAAAGAAAATAAACCATACTGTGTGCAGATTTCTTTCTTTTTTTCCTGCAGCCTCAGATTCCCAGGTTCAAGCAATTTTCTCTCCTCAGCCTCCCAAGTAGCTGGAACTACAGGCCTGCACCACCATGCCTGGTTAATTTTTATTTATTATTTTTATTTTCATATATATATTTTTTGAGACGGAGTCTCGCTCTGTCGCCCAGGCTGGAGGGCAATGGCGCGATCTCAGCTCACCACAACCTCCGCCTCCCGGGTTCACACCACTCTCCTGCTTCAACCTCCAGAATAGCTGGGACTACAGGCGCCCACCACCATGCCTGTCTAATTTTTTGTATTTTTAGTAGAAACGGGGTTCCACCGTGTTAGCCAGGACGGTCTTGATCTCCTGACCTCATGATCTGCCCGCCTTAGCCTCCCAAAGTGCTGGGATTACAGGCGTGAGCCACCGCGCCCGGCCGATTTTTATTTTTAGAAGTGGACTCTTGCTATGTTCCCCAGGCTGGTCTCGAACTCCTGAGCTCAAGAGATCATCCCACTGTGGCCTCCCGAAGCCCTGGGATTACAGGCATGAGCCCCAAGCCCAGCCCGTGTGCAGATTTATAAGAGCAACTAAATGTGCTTCTGTGTCTACACAAGCCACATCCCCTGCACCAGTCCAACCTGGGATGACCCCTCCAGCTAAGCGTGGCTTCCCCTGTCAGCCCCCAGGCTCTCCATGCCCCTCCCTATGCCATCATCAGCTGGCAGGCACCCCTCACTATCCCCCCAGCTGCCTAGCGCGACACCCAGGATGAGCCCCAGCCTCCCCGACCCCCGCACCTCCCAGGCTCTGAATCGCCTCCACTTTGTGTTTCGTCCAGCTGCCAAGTAGCCTGTAGGACAGATCTGGTCGCGCCACAGACCACTCACTGCCTGCAGACCAGACCAGAACCCTGCCCTCCGGAGGCCCCAACAGGAGGGGAGGCCAACCAAAGACACCCCCCCCCGGATGCCCACCCCTGCAGCTGCCTCGCTGGCCAGGTGCACTGACACATCTGCCCCCACGAAGCTGCACTCTTTGAGCACAGACCCCACTGCACGCACAATCCAGCGGCTCCAAGTGTATCCGTAAGTGCCTGAACGCTCTGATGAAGACTCAGGGCAGAGAAGCCGGGGAGGCACCCCTGTGGGAACCACACACGTGGAGCTGCTCACCTGCACAGCCCCTCCCGCAGCACCTGTAGCTCCCCCAGCACCCCCAGAACCTCCGGCTCCCCCGGCTCCTCCAGCTCCGCCTGCCCTGCTTGATGCTCCTGCATCTTGGCAGCGTACATCTCTGAGTTCCTGCAGGGCCGCTTGGTGCTGATGCTCCAGGAGCAGGACCTTGGCACCCACCCTGTCCAGGGCTTTGGTCCTCTCTGCCTCCAGCAGGCGTCTCTGATTGCACAGGGCTGCGACCAGCTCCTTCCGTCCAGGAAACATCCAGATGTGCCACATCCCCACACAGGGCACAGAAGGTGCACACGCTCCACATGCTTCCTCTGACTAAATCAGGCCGTGGTTTGAAACACACACTTCATGTGTGATATGCAAGTTCCTCCTTTCTGAATATTCTTTCAGAACTTCATTTTCTTTAAACCAAACAAACCAAGAAAACCTAATTTTAAATCCACAGCTTGGGAACAAGTGCTATTCTCCAAAGCATCTGTTTGCCTATGATCAAAACTGGGAACGAAAGGAAACTGAAGCTGGCATCTGAGGACTGGCCTGGAGGGCAGCTCCCAGCAGCATCAGACCCCTGTCTAATTTTGTCCAGAAAGACAACATGGCTCCAGCTTCTCTCAAGAGGCACCTCCCAAGCTGGGAGCAGTGGCTCATGCCTGTAATTCCAACTACCTGGGAGGCCAAGGCAAGAGGATCTCTTGAGCCCAAGAGTTCGAGACTAGCCTGGGCAACACAGGGAGACCCTGTCTTTTAAAAAACAAAAAAGAAACAAACAAAACACATCCCCAGGACTCCCTGACATGTGGTGAAGACAAGGACAGGACACAGAGGCCTGAGACAGGCAACTGACTGCACCTTACTCAGGAGAGCAGAGGGAGCCTGAACATATTCTGCTTTCTAGGAATTCCCCCAAGATCACATGCTCAGACCACACAAAACAGACAGCCTGAAACATAACATGAAACCCTCACAGCGATTAAAGAAGGTTCCACTTTTCTCCTGTTCTTACACAGAGCTGAAGGAAAGCAAACAATAAGCCAACGCTTTGGAGCCTCACAACTGTTCCCCACAGTCAGGAAGGAGGAAGCCCTCCCGTGGCATGCTGGTATCAGGAAATCAACGTATCCACCTTATCCAAGCTGGCAATTCCCTCGTTTATAGTTTGGAACGTGTACTTCTTAAACGTCTGACAAGGTATTGATCTGCCAGAACAACCATTTCTAACTGCCTCATCAGCTCTAGCCCATGCCCCATCCACCGTGCAGCCAGGCCTATGCATCCCCTTCCTGCAGGGAGATAGGCCAGCCCCAGTGGCTCCACATGCTCAACAGAGCAGACTCATCTATTTCAAGGTGAGAAAACCTCAGAGACCTCACTGAGGGCAGAGAAAGCACAAGGTGTGTGTGATACGACAACACGTGTCCTTTCCTGAGTCACAGGCACTGCAGCTTCTGCAGTCAGGCGCCAGCCCAGGGCAAGAGGGACTTCGCCAGAAATTCTTCTTCATGATAAAAACTTGGAAGTGCCTGTCAAATGAACCATCACCGCTTTTTTTTTTTTGAGACAGAGTCTTGCTCTGTCTCCCAGGCTGGAGTGCACTGGTGCGATCTCGGATCACTGCAAGCTCCGCCTCCCGGGTTCACATCATTCTCCTGCCTCAGCCTCCCAAGTAGCTGGGACTACAGGCGTCCGCCACCACCCCCAGCTAATTTTTTTTTGGATTTTTAGTAGAGACGGGGTTTCACCGTGTTAGCCAGGATGGTCTCGATCACCTGACCTTGTGATCTGCCCGCCTTGGCCTCCCAAAGTGCTGGGATTACAGGTGTGAGCTATTTTTGTTTTTTTTTTGAGACAGGGTCTCACTCTGTTACAGCCCAGGCTGGAGTGCAGTGGCACAGTCTTAGCTCACCCTGCAGCCTCGACTTCCTGGGCTCAAGCAATCCTCCTGCTTCAGCCTCCAAAGTAGCTGAGACTACAGGTGCGTGCCCCCACGCCCGGTGAATTGTTTTTAATTTTCGTAGCCCACAGGCTGGTTTCAAACTCCTGGGCTCAAGTAATCCAACTGCCTCAGCCTCCTAAACTGCTGTGATTACAGACGTGAGCCATTGTGCCTGGCCCATCACTGCTCTTGAAATGTAGCAAAAGGGTTTTATTTCAGGAAACATCAATAAAAGGAGGGGACCAAGGCTCTGAATACACAACATGACCATCAGATCTTCCCACAGCAGCCTGGAAACCAAGTCTTCTGCAGAGGTGCTGGTCAGCCTTGAGGAATACTCCAAAGCCCACAAAATCCCCCACCAAGGTCTAGGCCCTCCCACATACGTACGAGAGCAAAGCCTTTAACAAGGTGCCTGCGATCAAAATAACCCTTCAACTCAGTGTTTTAAAGCCCAGCTCAGGCCGGGTGCGGTGGCTCATACCTGTAATCCCAGCACTTTGGGAGTCAAGGCGGGTGGATCGCCTGAAGTCAGGAGTTCGAGACCAGCCTGGCCAACATGGTGAAGCCCAGTCTCTACTAAAAATACAAAAATTAGCCGCGCATGGTGGCAGGCGCCTATAATCCCAGCTACTTGGGAGGCTGAGGCAGAAGAATCACTTGAACCCAGGAGGCGGAGGTTGCAGTGAGCCAAGATTGCGCCACTGCACTCCAGCCTGGCGAAAGAGTGAGACTCCGGCTCAAAAAAAAAAAAAAAAGCCCAGTTCACAAAGAGACCAGAAGTCCCCACTGATCTCGGCAGCCTGTGAGACACACAGACACCCGCACAGGCACACACAGCACGCACGCAGACATGTGACACGCGGTGGAAACACACAGGCAGCGAGGAGAGGCCTGCCCTGGGCTGGGGCAGGGCCCTGGCGCCTTACCTGGTGCACTCCCTGCAGCTCGTGAGCCACGGTTCCGGCGAGCTCTGTGCTCACTTCGGTTCGCAGGTGGTCCCGCACAGACTGTAGCTCCCCTTCGTGTTTCCGCTTCAGTTTCTCCAACTCTTGAGTCAAAATCGTTTGGTGAAGAGAGTCCTTTTTCCACAGTTGTTCCTCAAAGTCTGCTCGTAAGAGCTCTAGGGCCTGCCTGTGCTCCTCACGGATGGTCTGAAATTCAGAGAGGTAACAGGATTCCAAAGAATCAAGGCTGGACAGATGTCTGGTCTCCAGAGCGCCGAGGTCGGCAGCGTGTTTTGTCTGCAGTTCGGCCACACGTGCAGCCAGCAGAGCCCCCTGCTTGCTCTCTAAGGAGGCTGTCAGCTCGCCCAACGCGGCCTGGTGTCTGGCCTCGAGCTCCGCCGTCACTGACAGGAGCTGCTGCTGGTGTCTCTCCTGGAGGAGCTGCAGCTCACGGGCATGCTGCTCCTGGGCCTCCTGCAGGAAGGCATCTTGTTCCGCACTGAATTTCTCGGTGATCTCTTTACGTTCCTCTAAAAACCTGCGGCAACAAAGTGAACACAGGACAGTTAAACATGCATCAGGAAGCAATGACCCTTGCAAAAGCCAAGTCAGTTTCCCACAGGAAATGCCACTTCAACTGTTCAGGTCATCGTTTCGGGATTTTAACTGCTCTTACTACTTTTCCCTCGACCACCAGAAATAGTAAGTGGGAGAGTGAAGAGGCCCCATGAAGCCAGAGAAGCCCAGAGGCCAAAGGCCAAAGCCATGGGAGTCGCCAGGTCACAGACCACAGGTAGGAACCAGCGCCCTCAGCAAGAGATGGCACACACACATCCCCGCCAGAGCCACGCACGGCAGGCACAACCAACCTCCTACTCACACCACAGCGTCCGAGCCAGCATCCAACCAAGAATCCCAAGGTAATCTCTGCTCCTCAACAGGGAAGGGGCACTGCCCATGGGGGCCCATGGGGAGGGCGAGGCCTGAGAACCCCATGGCAGTGAATTGAACCCCATGGCAGTGAATGAATAGAACCTCATGGCAGTGAATAGAACCCCAAGGCAGTGAGTGAATAGAACCCCAAGGCAGTGAATGAATAGAACCCCACGGCAGTGAACAGAACCCCACGGCAGTGACTAGAACCCCATGGCAGTGAACAGAACCCCACAGCAGTGAATAGAACCCCACAGCAGTGAATGAATAGAACCCCATGGCAGTGAACAGAACCCCACGACAGTGAGTGAATAGAACCCCACGGCAGTGAACAGAACCCTGTGGCAGTGAACGGAACCCCACGGCAGTGAATAGAACCCCATGGCAGTGAATAGAACCCTATGGGAGTGAACAGAACTCCATGGGAGTGAATGAATAGAACCCCACGGCAGTGAATAGAACCCCACAGCAGTGAACAGAACCCCACAGCAGTGAGGAGAACCCCATGGCAGTGAATGAATAGAACCCCCATGGCAGTGAATAGAACCCCATGGCAGTGATCAGAACCCCACGGCAGTGAATAGAAGGCCATGGCAGTGATCAGAACCCCATGGGAGTGAACAGAACCCCACGGCAGTGATCAGAACCCCACGGCAGTGAATAGAACCCCATGGCAGTGATCAGAACCCCACGGCAGTGATCAGAACCCCACGGCAGTGAACAGAACCCCACGGCAGTGAACAGAACCCCACGGCAGTGAATAGAACCCCACGGCAGTGATCAGAACCCCACGGCAGTGAACAGAACCCCACGGCAGTGATCAGAACCCCACGGCAGTGAATAGAACCCCATGGCAGTGAATAGAACCCCATGGCAGTGAATAGAACCCCATGGCAGTGAATAGAACCCTATGGGAGTGAACAGAACTCCATGGGAGTGAATGAATAGAACCCCACGGCAGTGAACAGAACCCCACAGCAGTGAATAGAACCCCACGGCAGTGAGGAGAACCCCATGGCAGTGAATGAATAGAACCCCCATGGCAGTGAATGAATAGAACCCCATGGAAGTGAATAGAACCCCGTGGCAGTGAATTAAGGAGGTGCAGGCGGCACTCAGGGCCAAAGACAGAGGCAGGGAGAGTCCTCACAGAAGGACCTGCTCCCATCAGGAGGCCAAAGAGCCTGGAGCTGGAGGGTCCTGCAAAATGCCAAGGCCTCCAATGGGCACTGGCGACACAGGACGGATGGCAAGAGGCACAGGCACCTCTGCGCCTGGAAGCCTCTCTTGAGGGCCTCCTTGGTTCAGCTCTACCACGAACTGCATGTCGTAGCCTGGTGAGAAGAGCGTCCTGCTCGTGTTCATGCAGCCCCAGCGACCTGAACGTGAGTTTCTCCAATCCCTGAGCGGGGCCCTGTGCGGCCCTGGTTGCTGGGGAAGGGCTGGGTGGGGCAGACAGATGAGAAAGAACGGCACAGCCCTGGGACTGAGGCTCGCAAAAAGGGTCAGCACCAACAGGCAAAGAACCCAATCACTTTCTAAACCTCTTGAAAACTTCAAAGAAGAGTGTGTATGTTTCAGAAAAACATGCTTATTTTTAAAAATCACCTGTTTAAGTTAAAAAAAACACAAAAACGCTTAGTGGATAAACTCCATGTCCTTATGACACCTATAAAAGAGGTTTAGCTTCTGCTGTTCAAATCTTAAAACACACGAAGAACAACAGAGACAATGACTGATCCCCGCCCCTGACACCCACCCAGGGAGTGCAGACTTGGGGGGCTTTGGGGCGGCAGCTGCCAGCCTGCCCGTCCAAACACAAAGCTGTCCCACTGTGGCCGGGGGGCTTCGGGGTGGCGGCTGCCAGCCTGCCCATCCAAGCACAAAGCTGTCCCCATTGCAGCCTGGGGGCTTCGGGACAGCAACTGCCAGCCTGCCCGTCCGAGCACAAAGCTGTCCCACTGCGGCCAGGGGGCTCCGGGACGGCGACTGCTAGCCTGCCTGTCCGAGCACAAAGCTGTCCCACTGCGGCCAGGGGGCTTCAGGATGGCAACTGCCAGCCTGCCCGTCCGAGCACAAAGCTGTCCCACTGCAATTAGGCTGAAAACCTAGAGCGCCACACCTTGTTCCAGCTCCCTCCAGACCTTTTCGCCCAGTGGAGCCCACAGCGCCTCCTCCCAGGAGCCTGCCCACCTTCTACCCTCCAAGGTGTCTGGCCTCACAGGGACTGCAGATGGCGTCACTGCAAACCCACCTGCTCCGGGCCAGCATCAGCTGCAGGGCGCAGTCTTCCTTCACGTGGAGCGCAGCAAGCTCCCCGTCCTGGGCTGTGGGCGGCTCCCGCCCACACTGGCTGCAATGCAGGGCGTCGTCTGAAGTGAGGTCCTGTTCCAGCTGCTGCAGGCGGCCCTGCTGCTCCGTCAAGGACCTCTCCAGATCCAGGATCTGGGCTGCCTGTTGGTCCTGAAGCTGCCTCATTTCAGCTTCTCGAAGCTCAAACTTGTTTATGATGGTCTGTTTCTCGGATTCAGCCTTTTCTCTCAGTTCAAGTAGCATCAATGTTAACTTCTCCTCAGCTTCCCGCTGTAGCTCCTCCTTCATAACTTTCCAGTCCGTTTCTTTTCTTTGGAATTCCTGTTTCATCAGCTCAGTCTTTTGCTTAGCATTATTTAGTTCCTTCTGGTGGTCTTCAATTAGATTGTGTTTTACCTACAGACAACATAATTTCATTTAGGAGGAAAGACGCTAATGGAAGAGATTATTAGAAGAGACAACCCAAACCCACCTCTGAAGACAGGGAATTTTCACCACACACACACCCATTACGCTGCACACAGCAACAGGAATGATTCTCATGTTGATGACAATGGAAGAAACCTAAAGTGGACAAGTCTAAAACTAAATAAAATGCCTCCTACGTCCTGGCACCGAGAACCGACTGTTCTTTATCTCTGGAGCCCGTGGCCTTGACAGCAACCAACAACCGAAGGCAGCACACATCAGCCGAGCAAAGGCAGCAGCCGGAGGCTTCTTTGTTCAGACCAAGACCAGTGGCAGGACTCAGATCGGCCGCAGGCCTCTGTTAGGGGAACGCCAGCCCCACAGATAGCGCTGGGCCACTGCAGCAAGCATGATCGGATGCCCAGGAGGCAAGAGCAGCCAATGGTGCGATGCTCCCGATCTGTACAAGGTCAACGCCAGGACAATGAAAGACCTTGAGCAAGGGGTGGATGAACTGCAAGGCACACTGTAAAGGGATCCTGTGCAGAGGGGGATGAAGGAGAATGCAGAGGGCAAATATCCTAATCTTTTTTTTTTTTTTGAGACAGGGTCTGTCGCCCAGGCTGGAGTGCAGGGGCACAATCACAGCTCACTGCAGCCTCGAACTCCTGGGCTCAAGCAATCCTTTATAGAGACAGGGTTCTGCATGTTGCCCAGGCTGATCTTGAACTCCTGAGCTCAAGCAATCCGCCAGCCTCAGCCTCCCAAAGTGCTGGGATTGTTACAGGTGTGAGCCACCATGCCTGACTTCCTGACTTTCAAAGAGAAAAAAGTAGGTCAATAAACTACTGAACTCATCAAAAAGAAACAAACAAAAAACCCAAAAAAAGGCACGTAAGATTGACCTCAACTCCTTATTTAAAAATTAAGTTATTAAAGTTTAGGGTGCTACTTCTGGTGATGCCTGTGCACCTCGCCAGACCAGCCCTCCAGAGACAACCACTATGAACTGAACAGAACGTACAAAAAAACCTGAAGGCTGTGGAGAGATCCACAAGCAGACAGACCCTGCAGAGGGCTGGACATTCAGAAGGAAGAAACAGCACTGAGCCATTCTCTTTTTCCAGCTTTTCACTAAGAGTAGTATCTGTCCATGCCCCACACACAGA
Organism: Homo sapiens; assembly: GCF_000001405.40. NCBI lineage: Eukaryota > Metazoa > Chordata > Mammalia > Primates > Hominidae > Homo > Homo sapiens. The sequence continues at coordinate 46,362,298 of NC_000021.9, read as the reverse complement.
AATCCCAAATCCCTCACTGAGCCAGAGGAACTGGAGAGTGAGGGAGGAAAGAGAGCTGCAACGCCTGGGAAGGAACCCGCCCACGTCTCAGGCTGACCCCGATCTGTACATACGAGGGGCAGACTCCAAAAGCAAGCAAGCCGGCTAAAGCTACAAGAACTGAATTAACACCATGCCGCAGCCCAGCACAGACGCAGGGGAGCATGCAGTCTGAAGTCACCCGAGTGAACTGCCTGCTGCAACAGAAAACCAACACTCTCCAGAGGAGCAGGACAGAACCCAAAGTCTCCAAATCTATCACTCACAGTGTCCAGGATGCAACCTGAACCCAGCTGACCCATAAATAAGCAGGAAAACGTGACCCCTGCTGAAGAGAAAACACAATCAATGGAAACCAACACCAAGACAAAACAGATCATAAAATCTGCAGAGAAGGATTTTAAACATCTTTAAATCCTGAACAAGAAACCTGTCACCTTAGACTTTTTAATGCCACAAAAATACTCCTCAAGAATCAAGGTAAAATAAAGACTTCAAAAAACGGAGAAAATGTGTGCAGCACAGCAAGAGATGCTGAAGGAGATCCTTCACGCTGAAGGGAATGACGCCAAACACTCAGATCTTCAAGAAGAAATGAAGAGCACCAGAAATGGCAAGTATAAGGCCATTTTTCCTCTTAATTTCTTTCAAACACATGTTTTCCAAAGCAAATCTCCTGACACTGCAGGAGGCGGATGTGATGTCTAGTCTATGAAAACTGCAGCACAGAAGACGAAGGGGAGGTGACAAAAGCACCTGTGCAGTTAGAGGTCACAGTTTACACAACGCAGCATCATGGTGACTCTTAGTAGACTGTACTGATAAAAGACAAGGTTAAGAATGTGTATTCTTTTTTTTCTCTTTTCTTTGAGACGGAGTCTCGCTCTGCCGCTCAGGCTGGAATGCAGTGGCGTGATTGTGGCTCACTGCAACCTCTGCTTCCTGGTTTCAAGCGATTCTCCTGCCTCAGGCCCCCGAGTAGCTGGGATTATAGGCATGCACCACCATACTCGCCTAATTTTTTTATTTTATTTTTTAGTAAAGACAGGGTTTCCCCATGTTGGCCAGGCTGGTCTCAAACTCCTGACCTTGGGTGATCCACCCGCCTCCCAAAGTGCTGGGATTACTGGCCTGAGCCACCGTGCCGGGCCAAGAATGTGTATTTTAATCCCTGGAGCAACTATTAAAAACATAATGCAAAGAGGAATAACTTAATAGTCAACAGATACATTAAAATCAGTTCTAGAAAATATTCAAATAATCCAAAAACACAAGAAAAAAGAAAAAGCAGAACCATGACCACCAGACGCATCTCACAGAAAATGAACAGTGAAACGGAAGACCTAAATCAACCACACCAGTAATTACCTTAAACATTTATAGACTCAGCACTGCAACTGAAAGGCAGAGATTATCAGAATGGATTAAAAATTGCCAACTATGGCCAGGCGTGGTGGCTCACGCCTGTAATCCCAGCACTTTGGGAGGCCGAGGTGGGCGGATCGGGAAGTCAGGAGATTGAGACCATCCTGGCTAACATGGTGAAACCCCGTCTCTACTAAAAATATAAAAAATTAGCTGGGTGTGGTGGCGGACGCCTGTAGTCCCAGCTACTCGGGAGGCTGAGGCAGGAGAATGGCGTGAACCTGGGAGGCGGAGCTTGCAGTGGGCGGATATCGCACCACTGCACTCCAGCCTGGGCGACAGAGCAATATTCCGTCTCAGAAAAAAAAAAAAAAGCCGGCGCAGTGGCTCACACCTGTAATCCCAGCACTTTGGGAGTCCGAGGCAGGCGGATCACGAGGTCAGGAGATCGAGAACATCCTAACACGGTGAAACCTCATCTCTACTAAAAATGTAAAAAAAAAACTAGCCAGGCGTGGTGGCGGGCGCCTGTAGTCCCAGCTACTCGGAGAGGCTGAGCCAGGAGAATGGCATGAACCCGGGAGGCAGAGGTTGCAGTGAGCCGAGATCGTGCCACTGCACTCCAGCCTGGGCAACAGAGTGAGATTCCGTCTTTAAAAAAAAAAAAAAAAAAAAAAAAAATTGCCAACTATATGCTGTCCACATAAAATGCACTTTACTTTGAATAGATTAAAAGTAGGCCAGGTGCAGTGGCTCACATCTGTAATCCCAGCACTTTGGGAGGCCGAGGCGGGTGGATCACTTGAGCCCAAGAGCTTGAGACCAGCCTGGACAACATGGCGAAACCTCATCTCTACAAAAAATACAAAAATTAGCTCAGCACGGTAGTGTGCACCTGTACTCCCAGTTACTTGGGAGGCTGAGGTAGGAGGATCCCTTGAGCCTGGGAGGAAGAGGTTGCAGTGAGCCAAGACTGTGCCACTGCACTCCAGCCTGGGCAATAGCCTGTCTCAAAAAAAAAGAAAAAAAAAAAGGTAAAACGAATAAAAAAAGATACACCAGACAAAATGCACACGAAGGTTGGAATGACTGTATTGATAAAAGACGAGGCTGGGTACGGTGGCTCACGCCTGTAAACCCAAAAATTTGGGAGGCTGAGGCAGGCAGATCATGAGGTCAGGAGTTCGAGACCAGCCCGGCCAACATAATGAAACCCCGTCTCTATTAAAAATACAAAAATTAGCCGGGTGTGGTGGCACGTGCCTGTAGTCCCAGCTACTCGGGAGGCTGAGGCAGCAGAATCGCTTGAAACCAGGAGGCGGAGGGTACAGTGAGCCAAGATCACGCCTCTACACTCCACCCTGGCGATAGAGTGAGACACTGTCTCAAAAAAAAAAAAAAAACAAAAAAAAAACAGGTGTATTTTTGGACAGAATACTACAAGACAGAAAAGGGTGAATTTTTAGGAAGACATTACAATCACAAATGTGTACACGTGTAACAACAGAGCTTCCACATACTCAAAACAAGAATTAAAATTAACAAGAGAGAAATCCACAGTCCTCTCCCCATAATTGATATAAGGAGGTAAAATGGTGGCCTGTGAAAAGCATAAAGACATGAGCATCAAAAAGTCACCTGGAGCCAGGTTCGGTGGCTCACGCCTGTAGTCCCAACACTTTGGGAGGCCAAGGCGGGCAGATCACTTGAGATCAGGAGTTTGAGACCAGCCTGGCCAACATGGTGAAACCCTGTCTCTACTAAAAATACAAAAATTAGCTGGGCATGGTTGGGTGCGGTGGCTCACACCTGTAATCCCAACACTTTGGGAGGCTGAGGCGGGTGGATCACGAGGTCAGGAGATCGAGACCATCCTGGCTAACACGGTGAAACCTCGTCTCTACTAAAGATACAAAAAAAAAAAAAATTAGCCAGGCATGGTGACGGGCACCTGTCTTCCCAGCTACTCGGGAGGCTGAGGCAGGAGAATGGCATGAACCCAGGAGGCAGAGCTTGCAGTGAGCTGAGATTGCGCCACCGCGCTCCAGCCTGGGTGACAGAGCGAGACTCCATCTCAAAAAAAATAAAAAAAAATAAAAAAAATTAGCCAGGCATGGTGGTGTGCACCTGTAATTCCAGCTACTAGGGAGGCTGAGGCAAGAGAATCACTTGAAGCCAGGAGGTGAAGGTTGCAGTGAGCTGAGATCGCGCCACTACGCTCCAGCCTGGGCGACAGAGCAAGACTCAGTCTCAAAAAAAAAAAAAACAAAACAACAAAACAACAACAACAACAAAAAGTCACTTGGGAAGTCTGTCTTCAGCCAACAGTGCCAGAGAAGGCCACACACTGGTGGCTGCAGGTGCCATTGGCACATGACCATCGGCCCACCTACCGCCTGTCCGGCTCCCCACAGGGCTCCACCCTTACCTCTATTTTGCTGGAAGTCCTTACCAACACCTGCATTTAACAAACAGCATGGGATCAGACTTGCAGGTCATCATAGCTTCCTATGAAGCTGTCTCTTGATGGAGAATGAAAATCATTCTCAGGGAGACATTCACAGGGAGGAGCAAAGGGGTGGGAGAAGCAGGACACAAATAGAAATGAAAACACTGTCACAAGCATGAGGTTGAGTCAGAACACACATGACAAGACATGACAATTTCAGTCACTTTAACTCCACTGCTCTGGCACGGGATGGACCCTGAGCTGCCCCGTCGGTTCACTTGAACTCCACTGCTCCCGCATGGGACGGAGCCTGAGCTGCCCTGTTGGTTCACTTTAACTCCACTGCTCCGGCATGGGACGGACCCTGAGCTGCCCTGTCGGCTCACTTGAAATCCACTGCTCCAGCATGGGATGGACCCTGAGCTGCCCTGGCTGTAACCAAGCCCATCGGGCCATGTGGAGGCTGCTGTCGTGTTGCTTTGTCATCATTTATGACAGCATGGCAGTGTCCTCACACTCGCAAAGGGCGAGGGAGTCAGAGGGTGCCTCTTCCACAGGTGCAAAACAGCACAGGAAGAGCCTGGGGAACGCGGACGCAATTTAAGACTTGGGGTGAGCATCAGAGGCCAGCCACGTGCTTGGCACCCGGGCTTGTGCCTCCTCCCAGAGCCCTCTTAGGACACCTGGACAGTTTCCCTAAGAAATCTTGACTCAGAGGGCCGGGCGTGGTGGCTCACACCTGTAATCCCAGCACTGTAGGAGGCCAAGGCAGGCAGATCACTTGAGGTCAGGCGTTTGACACCTGCCTGGCCAACAAGGTGAAACCCTGTCTCTACAAAAAAAATACAAAAATTAGCCAGGCATGGTGGCATACGTTTGTAATCCCAGCTATCAGGGGACCACTTGAAATCAGGAAGCAGAGGTTGCAGTGAGCTGAGACCATGCCACTGCACTCCAGCCTGGGCAACAGAATGAGACTGTCTCAAAACAAAACAAAACAAAAAGAAATCTTCACTCAGAACTTCACTTTCGCCCCGGTGCTGACCCTGACAAGATTCTATCCAACCGCCACCCACTACTGGCATTGCCAGGAATAGTTTCAAGAATTTACGGGACTGTCGCCCTTACAAATGTGCCATGTACAGCACTGGGCTGTCCCCAGGATGCCCCTCCATACACAAGGACACAAGCCTTCCAGGTGGAAGAGAGCAAGGACTCGGGCGGGAGGCGCTGGGCTGTGGAGTCACGACTCACCTTCTCCAAATCGTCCTTCAGACGAGTTTCATGCTGCAACTTCCCATACAAATTTCTATTTTCTATTTTTAGGAGTTCAATTTCTTCTTTGAGCTCAGTCTGAAGAAGCGAAAGTTGCACCTTGTGCTCAGTTTCCAGACCCAAGACTCTGGCTGCCCGCTCTGTGTCGGCCTCCAAGTCCCCGTCCTGCACACCCTGGAGATGCACCCAGGGAAGCTCTGTGTGGAAAAGGAGCAGGGAAGACAGTCAGGCCGGTGCCGGCCCTCGATGGAGCCCACAGTCCGCACAGGCAGAACGGCAACCTATAAATGCTTCTGACAGCAGACACTGTGGATTTTCAAGCTCTGTGCTGACTCAGTGATGAAAGCAGGCATGGCTCTCTCAAGTCTCCCCTCCCTTTCGGGACACCTCCATGCTGCCCCAGCACAGTGCCGTCCCGAGTCACAGGGATGTCCTGGGCCCACACGACAGCCACACGACCCGCCCAGGCTACTCCTTCAGGTCAGGTGTGACATGTGACCCTCCATGAGTTCCTGAGTGAGCCTCATGCCTGTGACCAGATGTGGGCACACATGTGTCACCCAGGGTCTATGAGGCAGCCACAAGGACAGGGCCTGAGCTCAGGGGCCTGCCAGGGTTCCTGTCCCAGCACCTCCCCCTGCTGTTCTGTGCCCAGGCACGCTACCCCCACTGGCCCATCTCTTCTTCTGCAGAAGAGGAAAAAAGCAGAAGGGACTAGGTGCTGGCCAGGCACCAGTGGTGCCAACGACCATGGGCATCAAGGGGTGGCTGTGGGGACAATTGTGGTGCAGGGCAGGCAGGAGTGAGGACCAGATGCAGGCGCCGCTGCACCACCCCCAGCTTGAAGGAGGCCCAGGCAGGCCCAGGCTTCTCTCAACTTGGCCACAGCCCAGAATGGAGTCAGACCACACACCTCCCAGCAGGACCCGCGGCCTCAGCCCCTCACCCCCACCATGGACGGCAGCCCCACCATCAGCACAGTCCACGCCAGTGGCCAGGGCCGCCTGCCCCTCCTGGAACCCGTCAGTGGCCACTGTCCGGCGCCATGGGACCGCGACTCTGGGATGACTGCAGTTTCCTCTCCGTCACCTTCTGACCCCACAGCCCTGTGCCCCGTGCCCTGCCTGGACATCCCACAACCTTAGTCTGACTAGGCGAGCTGGGGTACCTGGGCCTGCTGGGAGCAGAGCAGGATCCTGGAAAAGCCTCCCCTGGGCCCAGTGGACACACATTCTCCCTCCAGAGGTGAATGGTCACCATGTCCATCCAGCAATCCCCATGACCCCCAGGGTGGCTGCCCAGGTCAGACCTGCCCTGCTGGGGCGCTGGCCCAGGACACGCACTCCTGCCCAGCCAGTGACCCCGCCTCTAACGCCAAACCCTCATCAGGACACACTCTGTTGAGGTGTCAGCCCCAGAAGAAGAGGTCGGAGCACTCAGCTGCTTCACGGAGGACTTGGATCGAACCCAGGCACCCAGGCTCCCCGAGAACGTCCCCCAGACCCGGGACCTGCCGACACCATGGCGAGGCGGGAGGGGCCCACCTTGGCTGTGCCCTTCAGAGGGTTCCAGACGCCACTCGTGTCCCAATGCTGAAGTCTCTACGCAGCATCTGTCTGAGACATGCCCCTCGTGCTGGATGCAGAGGGGAGACTCCAGCGCTTCCAGCTGGTGCCTGTGGCTTTCTTCTAACTCCGCCTGGAAGCGTGGCAGGCTCTCCTACAGAGAAACCACGTGGGACAAGCACGTTAGTGAGCCAAGCTACCTCGCTCGCAGCTATAACCCTCAAAGGTGTTTCCTGCTATGCACAAAGAAAACTCAAACCTCACTAGGTTCATGAGACCACACGCTGCGCCCTGGTGAACCCCGCCAGCCCACTGGCGTGCTCACATGCTCTCCCGCCCACACCCGTCTCTCAGTCAGGCCTCCGGAAGACATACAAGAATTGGTGGCACTGACAGGGACTGGTGCTCCTCAGGGCGGCAGGGCCCTGGACCGGGCAGACCTCTCCTCAATTCTCTCAGCAGCAAGGTCGGTAGGGCACGTGCCCCTCGCGTCTCCCCTGGTGGCCTCACATCTCAGGGCTGGGCTCTCAAGGCCAGCCTCCTGTGACCACTGCCCACTAACAGCTGGGTCCTCGTCACACCCACGCGCAGAGGCAGGGGTTGGCTCTCAGGTGATACACGAATGCCTGGTGGGGCTACCCACCCCAGCCCTTCCTGGGTTCTCTCTGGTGCAAGGCCTGCTCGTGGGAAGGTCCTGGCTGCCTGTTCCAGCCGGGCCCTTGCCCTTCTCTGGCATTTCCCCCATAGCCTCTTGTGCAGCAAATTCTGTGTTGGGGTCCGCTTTGCAGGGAACTCAAACTGGCACACAGCCCGCTGCCACCCTGCCTGGACACCCTGTGGCCTCCAGCAGGCCCAGGGACCCTGCTCCAGAGTGAGGGCTCCTGGCCGCTGAGCCCAGATGCCCCGAGTTCCCCTCCACTGGTTCCACCGTGCAACAAGCCACGCGGTGCTGCCCCTGCGTCTCCTCCCTGCCCTCCCGTGTGTCCCCCGGAGCCCGACACCGGGCTTGCTCATGCTGCACATCAAGTGCTCCACAGCCACACATACTGCTGGGCACCACACTGGCAGCACAGACCCAGAACAGTCTACATCCCAGAAGCTCCGTTTGGACAGTTTGCCCCACAGAAGTTAAAGGTGACAGAAGTCGCAGCACGGAAGCAACTCAAGGAAGAAACACAAAAGCCAGCAGACGCTCCGTGTGGACTCAAAGCAAAGACACAATTTCACACCCTTTGAACTGCCACTGTCAAGTCTGACGAATGCAGCCCACTGCAGGGTGGAGGCCTTGCCCACAGCCAGGGCATCCCAGGGCTGAGGGAGGGGCTCCGGCTCCCCCGGCCACCCCCTTTCCTGATCAAACAGTGCATGGTGAGGCCCACCGCGGAGCAGCAGTGAGGTCGGGGCAGCATCCGCAAGCAGCCTTCCTCCCCTGGACAAGGTGGGAAGGACGGAAACACAGGCTCTATAATGTGGAAGACGCAGGGCTGGAAGGTCAAGAGCACAGGACTCCCCCACTTCTCAGCGCGCGGCCAATTACCTTATGTCGCTCAGGCTCGAGTTCATCAACGTGATCTTTTCTTCCTTTCTCAGGTTTCTCTTCTAAACCCACACAGGACAACCTGAAGGGAAAACATTTTATAAAAGCTTTACACACGTACCCCTTTTCCATGTGTGCGCCATTCCCTCCCCAGGACCGACTGCTCACAGCAGAGGCGCCTCCTCGTGCTTCCAGTCAAGGACGGGCAATGTCCATGTGCGGGGAGCCGTGGCAGTCACAAAGCCAGAGACACGGCACAGGGACATGCAGGTCTGGAAGAAAGTGTGCCCGCCACTGACTCTCTCTCTGTCTCTCTCACACACACACACACACACACACACACACACACACACCTGGAGGAGAGTGCCCCTGCCACCAACACACACACATGCCTGGAGGAGAGCGCCCCTGCCACCAACACACACACACGCAGGCCTGGACAAGAGCGTGCCCACTGACTCATGCACACACACACACATGCTGGCCTACACGAGCGTGTCCACCACCAACATGTGCACGCAGGCCTGGACAGAGTGTGGCCACCAATGGCTCGCACACACACATGCAGGCCACTCTCGGGTGCCCGTGCCTGTGTCATCTTTTAAATCTGGACCATAAAATGTGTTTGTATAAAAGGCCATTGGTGCCTACTAGCATGAAATCACCAACAAAACTACCCCTGAACTCAGAGCCTGGCCCCTGTATGGCAGAAACTCACTGAGGCTGGAACTGCTTTGCTTACCCAACTTCCACAGAGTCCAGAAGAGCATCTTCCCTCGCCCCCTGCAGCCTCTGCTGTAACAGGGTTAGGTCTTCTTGGTAAGTTTTCTCAGCATCCCTTAACTTCTTTTCAAAATAAATCCTCAGTTGCTCCAGTTCGGACTCATGCTGGGTTTTTTCTCGCTGCTTCAGCTGTTCTAAATCTTCCACACGAGAGGTGCGCGCCAGGAGTTGCTCATGTAGCTCTGCAACATAACGGAGTCAGGCAATCGTCTTAAAATGGGACACCCACAACAAGCCAGGCGAGAGGCAAGAGCCTGGTTACCTGTGGTGGGGGCAGAACTCGGAAAAGGGCCCATCCCAGAACCGGAGAGGGATGAGGGACCCCTACGGCTTAGACTCTCGTACGCCCCTGAATGTGGAGAGCTCTCTCCAAGCGGTGGCAAGAGCCACAGGGCTGGGAGCAAAAGCAGCACTCGAAGTGGCAGGGATGTGGGGGGCACAGCCAGCAAGGAGACAGACGATGGTCCTGCAGCCCCAGGAAACTGGATCCAGACCAACCTCGAGCCCAGAAGCAGGCTCATCAGGTTGGCACACGACAGCTGACACCTGGATGTGGGCTATGGGGGACCCTGGACAGAAAACCCAGCTGTACCATCTTGGACTTTCTGTAAGCTGACAACTGTGTTGTTTTAGGCCACCAAGTTTGTGATAATTTGTTACACAGCAGCAGAGAAGCAACACGGACCCTAAAAGAACTTGTCTCCATGGCTACTATGGTCAGAATACAGCCCGCTGCTCTACAGCAGCTGACAGCCAGCAACGGGCACCCCAGAGAGGGCAAATCGGGGTTCTCTGCATGGGTCCCGAGAGGCAGGACAGAGACAAGCAGAGGACCAAGCCAGAGCCGGAGCCCGCGGGGAGCAGCTGTGCCTGTGGCCCCCTCAGCTTCTCTCTTCTCCAGCCTCCAGCGACAGACAGACCCCCAGAGGAAGATAAATCGACATGCTCTCAGCTGCACCTGGTCCCGGCAGGGCGCAGGGCTGGGAGGCGGAGCCAGGCCTGGTGCCCTGGTGACAGTGGCAGTGTCTCCAGTTCTTTCTCCTAAGTGCTCTTTGCTTCAAATCCCACCACCCACAAGGACAAGTTGGGCCAAAAGGCTCTGTCGGCACATGAATGCCAGGAGACACGCAGTGGCTCACCCTCCTGTCCTGTGGACCTGGGCGCCGGTGCCTGAATTGGGCTTGGCCAGCCCCTGCCCTCAGGCACCATCCAAGCCTGCTGCACAAAGACCTCTCTGACACGGAATGGGGGGCCTGGGGTCGGGGTCTCCAGAGGTGCTCAGCTATAAGGGGACACCTGGAGCAGAGCTGCCTTCAGCAAGTGGCCTGGAGAGCTGGGGCCACAGGAGCCTGGCAGCAGGATGTGGGGCACTGCCCTGTGACCCCAGACACCAGGTGAGCCCGCACTTGGACAGCACTCAACCGTCCTTCCGAGGCAAACGCTCAGCACCACTGGTAAGCTTTCCTTAGACATGAAGGCACCCCCTGCAAGTGTTGCTCTTGGCCTTGAGGGACACACAGGTGCACGTCACTGCTGCACTGACTTGCTTAGCATAAAACCAGGGCTCTCTCCCACAAAGCAAACCTCCACTTTCAAACCAGACACCTCAACCTTCAGGATGTCAAACAGGTAAATCCACTTTTTTGTGTTTGCTAGAATTGTTAAATTCTGGCTTGGTGTTACAACAATGAAAAACACACAGCTTCAGCTTTTGAGGATCTGAATTTTCCAATACAATTCCTCACCACTCAATTCCTGTCTACTGGTCCTGGCAGAATCAAGCTGGGACCACAAGCGCCTGATCTCTTCTTGTGATTGTGCCTTCAGGTCTTCATATGATGCTTGAAGATTCTCTAACTGGAAAAAGCAAAGTGTCCAGGTGAAACCCTAATGAGCTCAAGGCCCCCACCCCAGCAGTGACGTGTGCGGTTTTATCCCTGCCACTGCGATCCTAAGGGTAAAAGCTCACATCCCAAACCTGCAGCTCGGAGAAAGCCAGCCACAGCAGAGACCGAGAGAGCTCTGTCCGTGACAAGAGGGATCGGTCAGCGCTGACCCCACAAGGCCAGGCACTTTCAGAATCTCAGGAACTTCCAGGTCTGTCTCAGCTGAGGAGGTGGCACGGCCAGGTTCCATGCCGGCCGCAGCGGTGCAGTTTCATCTTGTGCACCTCCCTGCTTCGGTTTAGGGTCATACATACAGACTGCTGAATGGAATTTAGGGAGTCTTACTAGCCCACAGTACCCAAGACTCCCAAATAGGAGGTCTCTCAGTTTCAATACTTCTACATTAAGGAAGCAGGTACCTCTTACACCGTGACACTAAACTTTTCTGTACAATCAGCAAGAGCCCAGCCCAGCGCAGCATGGCGTGATTTCCTCCTGGGCAACGCTGCACCTGGGGCTGGCCTGTCCTCCTCATGGAAACGGCTCCTCCTACCTTTCCCAATCATGGGCATCAGGACCAGAAGATGCTACCAGCCCCCTCTTTCCCATCTCGGAGGGAGAGCCTGGAAGGGACCAGGGAGAGACTGGGGGTGTGGAGTGAGCCCCGGCCTGGACTCTCTGCAGGAGAGGAGGGTGTGTGGGCACCAGAGTCCCGCTGGGAGACACAAGGGGCCCAGGACAGGCCTCCCTAAGACCCTAGACCCCAACTACTTCCATATTCTCATGTTTGTAAATCTTTCACACACCACGATTAACCCTATCTCTGATTTATGCTTTAATTTCTTCAACTGATTCTTGGGATACTCAGTTTGAGTCTCAGGTTTGTCAGGCCTCCAATGAGGACCTGGCCACATCAACATTTTGATTGTAGTGCTTCATTAGAGAAGCATCTTGAATACACACAGCAGAAAGAAATGCTTGTTAACTTTTCCTAGGAATCTCGTGTGTACTGGATCACGGTTAGAGGATGTGGCCTTACACTCCTACCTAGTGTCTGCGATTTGTGTAACTGTCTCAGGGACGCCTGCAAAGAACATGCATTCCTAAGTACAAGATTGAACGTAATTATTAAATCAGTCTCAGAGACTATATCCTTACACTTTTATTCACCACTAACACTCTATTTATTTTTTTATTTCATTTTATTTTATTTATTTGCTTTTGAGACGGAGGCTCGCTGTTGCCCAGGATGGAGTGCAGTGGTGAGATCTCAGCTCACTGCAACCTCCACCTCCTAGGTTCAAGCGATTCTCGTGCCTCAGCCTCCCGAGTAGCTGGGATTACAGATGCCCACCACCATGCCTGGCTAATTTTTGTCTCAAACTCCTGAGCTCATGATCTGCCCACCTTGGCCTCCCAAAGTGATAGAGTTACAGGCGTGAACCACTGTTCCCAGCCAGTCTCTTTAAATTTAGAACTTAAGTTTTAGCAAATAACACAATACGAAATAGCCCAATTCCAAAATCTGTTAAAACTTCCCTAATATACCAAGTAATTAAATAACGAAGCTGCTGCCCACCTCCAGCTGTTTTTCTTTCTCGCTCTCTTTGAACTTGAACTCCAAGTCTTCTAAACACCGGCCGTGCTCGGACTGCAGGTCTTCACGTAACTTCTCAATGGCTGCTTGATGATGACTCTCCAGGTTCCTAAGGGCCCCTAGAAAGGTAAAGCAATGGCACTTGGTTTACAAGACATCACTCTCCTCAACAGCGACCTCAGTGACAATAATGGTGCACCCAGAGCGCTGCCACCCAGAGCCCCATCCTGGGCGCCCCCGGGCCCCTCGTTTGAGCCTCACATGCCTGATAGCACCAGGGGACATCGCCTACCCATGCCACCCACCATGAGGGTCAAGCTGGAACACACAACCCTGGAGTATGAAAAGTGAACAACCACAAAGCTGCTGCTTTGTAATAATTTAGCAACTGAACATGCCAAGAAAAATCTCTGAAACAAAGATCAGGAAGGTTTAAGGACCCTGAGAGACCTGTGACCCATGACGGCCACCAGCGTGTCACACGTGCATGGGGCCATCCAGCATTTAGAAGGTAGGAAACGTGCGCAATGACGCATGGTGACATGAACGACATTCCTTCCAGTACTACCTAGGAAAATTCAGTCCCACTCCAAACTTGCTCATTTTCATTACTTACGTTCAGCCTGGTTTTTGTCTTGAAAAATCTTCTCCAACTCAGCTCTCTGTTCTGCCAATTCTTTCTGAAACTGGTTTTGTAAATCCTCCATTTCTGATTGATGCTTTGCAGACAGTTCTTTGCGTAGATTTTCTAAACATAAATCTTTTTCAGATTCCCAATCTTCCTTCAGGGTCTAATTTAAAAGAAAAAAAAATTAAACTCAATAGTTGATTATCTGTGCTAAAGAAATTTAAATCACACAGTCAAAACCTCTGAGCAGGCCAGGCAACGTGGCTCATGCCTCTAATCCCAGCACTTTGAGAGGCTGAGGCAGGCAGATCGCCTGAGCCCAGGAGTTAGGGTTACAGACCAGCCCGGGCAACATAGTGAGACCCCATCTCTACAAAAAAAAAAATACAAAAATTAGTGGGATGTGGTGGCATGCAACTATAGTCCCAGCTACTCGGGAGGCTGAGGCAGGAGGATCAATTGAGCCCAGGAGGTCAAGACTGCAGTGAGCTGTGATTGTGCCACTGCACTCCAGCCTGGGAGGCAGAATGAGACCCTGTCTCAAAGAAAAAAAAGAATGGGCAGTCATGGCCCCCAACTAAACTGTCCTGACAGGCCTTACACCCAGTCTCTCCCCTGAATGCTGGCAGGACAGAAAAGCAGAAGCATCCAGGAGGCAAGCAGTTGAGGAAAAGTGAGCAAGGACCACCCACCACAAAACAGACTGCCATCTGCACACGAGGACCACCCACCCTGAAACAGACCAGCCTCTGCACAGGGACAACCCACCCTGAAACAGACCAGCCTCTGCACAGGGACCATCCACCCCAAAACAGACCTGCATCTGCACAAAGCGAGAGGACCACCTACCCTGAAACAGACCAGCCTCTGCACAAGGACCACCCACCCCGAAACAGACGAGCCTCTGCACGCAAGGCCTAATCCACACAGTCACCCTCAAAGCGTTAGTAATACATCTCCCTATAAGTCCCAGGGGCCAATGGCAACTTTGCCAACCTCCACCCAAGGGCTGGGCTCTGTCCCAAGTGTTCTGAGAAATGGGTCTCACTGCCTGCGTCAGAGGAGCAGGTGACCGGAACACAACCCCAAGCCTGGACTAACACCCATCGTCTGCCAAGGGCCTGAGAGCTGCCCAGATGCCTGACTCAGGAAGGGCCTCCACACTCAGCATGGCTGACAGCTCAGCCCTCTAGCGGAGGGCCTGGCAATGACGGGGCACTGCTACCTGTGGTCCCCAGTGAGGCCACCCACAGCAGGTGCAACCCACCCCACCCAAAACCTCCTCCCTGTGTGGTATTCTCCCCGGCACCCCAGCACCCACACCCCATGCACTGCAGGGAACTGCCACATCCACGAGGGCAGAGGCTGTGTCCCAGAACACAGCTCAGGGGCAGGCCATGGGGGCCACTCAGAAGACAGCATGGAGGGGCCGAGCAGTGCCTTTGTGTTATGCAAGTCAATGTGAAACAACAAAACAAGTTTTCTGACAAATACAAATGATATAAATAAACAAAGAACGCAATACACTTTCAACCAGCATATTCTAATAAAGCCTCGACTGGCTTCTGTCTGAATCAAGGTGAGGAGCGTTCTCATGGGACCTGGCGAGAAAGGAAAAACAACATACACAGAGGCGTGCATTTTAGAATCGATCCCGGGTACCTTTACTATCTGGGCGTTTTTCTCCATTTCTGATTGTAACTTCTCCTTCAGCTCAGCTGCAAGAAAAACAAAAAGCAGCTCAGGCCACTCCATCTCAACCTTTTCAGTGACCCAACTGCCCAGGAAACGACCAGGCTCTGGCACCCACTGGACACGTGCCAGCATTCACGGGCTAGCAGGATGTGTCTGTGATGATGCTTGGCTTTAATAACAAACTGAGGACACCGTGACTTCCAGACACACAGGACGATCTAAGAGAGGAGGTGAAGGTCAGCCCTGGGTCGCACCTATCACAGACCACCTGGAAACCTGCTCTAATAATCTCCTGGCCACAAAAACCCAAGGGCCCCCTTTGTTCACCCCTCTCATGGTGCCAGACACCAGGCAAGGTGCTGAGAACAGAGATGGGGAGACGGTGCTAGGGCGCCCCAGCTCCCAACCCCAAGAGGGAACAGGCACTAGAATGCCCACACCGAGCCCACACGCTGCCCGTGCCCGCCTAGCCATGCAGTACCTGCTTCCTGTCCACACCTGAGCACCACCTCCTCCTTCTCCCGTGCGTGCTGCTCCCTGAGGAGCTCCAGCTCGTGCTGCTGCCTGCTCTGTAGCAGGGCCAGCTCCTGGGCACGCCGGCTGTTGAGCATCTCCCGCAGCTCCGTCAATGCCGTCTCCTTCTCCTTCTGGAGGTTGGCCTGTGTCAGCTCCAGCTGCGCCGTGTGCATGTTGCTCAGACTCAGGCGCAGCGCCTCCAGCTCAAGGCCATGCACGGCCTGCGGCGGAGAAAAGGCCTCTGATAAGGGCCCATGGTCAGAACCAGGGCGCATCAGGGAGACACAGAAGCATGAATGAGAATGAGTAAGGAAGACACAGAAAATGAAACAGCAGACATCCCGTGGAAGCAGGGGCAGGACACAGAGGCCCGGATGCCACTGAGATGCCACCCAGCTCCTCTGCCAGTGACCCCACAGCGCATCACTGCCCTGAGCACCAGCACCCCGAATTCCCTCGCTGTATGACGGCACTGTGTGTACCTGGAGGGGGCTTCGCAGCTGACAGGGAGAGCAACCGGCCTGAGGTCAGTGTGTCATTCATGTGGCCTGCACCTGACCAAGCCCCCTGACCCCCAGCATCCACGTGTGTCTCCTCCACCGGCCCTGCTGATGGCCCCACACACAGAACGTGGAAACAGACAACTCAGAGAAAGGAGATGGCAGCGCCCACCCCACCCCCACCCGGATGCCCACTGTGCCCTGTGGGGATAACAGAGCCCATGCTGTGAGCCTGTGCAGGCCCCGCCGGGTCACCTGACTCTGATGCAGGCCAGCCTCATCTTCACGGCCGCTCTCCAGGTCAGTAATGGCAAGTTCACATTCTTGTTCACACTCCTGGGGAAAAAAGGCAAAGAATGTAGGTCCAGAATTCACATGAGAAGCCACAGTGATGTGCTCAAGAACTGACGACGCACGTCCTCACAAAACCCCGTTCGCAGCTGTTCACAGCAGCACCACTCGCAACGGCCAGAAGGTGGGAGCAACCCAAATGCCTCCTGAGGGATGAATGGTTGAACAAACGTGGGCTGCCATTCAGCCACAAGAAGGAACGAAGCCCCAACTCAGGCTGCAACACAGAGGAGCCCTGAAGACGTGAGGCTGAGTGACAGAGCAGACACAGAAGGCCACGTATGGTGAGGTTCCGTTTACATCAAGTGTTCAGGATCTGCAAATCCGTAGACATGGAGCAGCCTGGAGGCTGCGAGGAGCTGAGGGAGGAGAGCGGGGTGGCTGCCGCGAGCACCGGGCTTCCTTCTGGGGTGATGATGATGTCTGGAGCCACTGGAGATGGTGCTCACACATGCTGTGAGTGTACTAAGTGCCACTGAGGTCTGTACTTTAAAATGGTGAATCGTATGCTTGTTAATTGTATCTCATTAAAAAAAGAAGAAGGAAAAATATTAAACTCGCTTAAATCACAATGTAAAGTCAAAGTCCCAGAAACAGGCCAGGCATGGTGGCTCACGCCTATAATCCCAGAATTTGGGAGGCCGAGGCAGGCAGATTACCTGAGGTCAGGAGTTCGAGACCAGCCTGGCCAACATGGTGAAACCCCATCTCTACTAAAAATACAAAAATTAGCCAGGCGTGGTGGCGGGCACCTGTAGTCCCAGCTACTTGGGAGGCTGAGGCAGGAGGATCACTTGAACCTGGAAGGCAGAGGTTGCAGTGAGCTGAGATCACACCACTGCACTCCATCCTGGGCAACAGAGCGAGACTCCACCTCAAAAAAATAAATAAACAAAATAAAGTCCCAGAAACAGAAGCTGTGGACTCTCCCCACGCCACAGCAGTGCTGCCACGGGAGGAACAAACAACCTGCTCTCAGGAAAAAGGCGGAAATGACGCCTACAGAGAGAAAATGTGCATAAAATGCCTGGAAAAAGTGGGTACCGATGAAAGGTAAACCAATCTAGAGACACAAACTTTAAAGATCCTTGTATGGCCACTAAATCAGCAAAAGTTGGGAAGAATATTACGAATCCTCAGTGCCACCACAGTCACAAGAAACAAATGCACCCAAATGCTACCAACATCAGAATCAGTTGCTTCAACTTTTTTCTCAGCAGCCATTTTGGCAACACAGGTCGAGCCACAGAAAGCCTTTCCCTGTCTCAACATTCCCACCTCTGGAAACCTTTTCAGCAGCAATAACCCAAAGGGAAAAGAAAAGCTGCAGGGGGCCCGTCGGCACGGATCCTGAGCCCACCGTCACTGTGGCCCTCCCTGCAGGCTCCTGCCCCTCGACTGGCGCCTGGGACGTATCCCCTGCCTGTGGAAGCGACCATTCTCTGGCTTCCCCTGCATCAGCCAGGCACCTTTCTGGGCTCCAGGTGACCCACTTGCTCACAGAGTACTTCCGATTAAAAAATGACCCAAACTAAATTTTTCTGCCCCAACTGGGGAACTGGCTAGGGATGGAGAGATACAGGCTTGATACAGTTGCAAAAGCTAGAAAGGCCCCCGGAGGAACTGGACAGGGAAGGGCGGCATGGTGGGCTCCACAAGGGCTGCCTGTGCGGGGACTCGTCCCCAGGGTGGGCGGCCACATGAGTGCAGCAACATCTCCCTTCAATGTCAGGAGCTCGGGCCGGGCGCGGTGGTTCACACCTGGAATCCCAGCACTTTGGGAGGCTGAGGCAGGTGGATCATGAGGTCAGGAGATTGAGAACATCCTGGCCAACATGGTGAAACCCTCTCTCTACCAAAAATACAAAAAAATTAGCTGGGCGTGGTGGCAGGCGCCTGTAGTCCCAGCTACTCGGGAGGCTGAGGCAGGAGAATGGCATGAACCCGGGAGGCAGACCCGGCAGAGCTTGCAGTGAACAGAGATCGCGCCACTGCACTCCAGCCTGGGTGACAGAGCGATACTCCATCTCAAAAAAAAAAAAAGAAAAGAAAAGAAAAGATAAACAAAACTGATAGATCATTAGTGAGATTAACCAGGAAAGGAAGAGAGAAGATCCAAATAAGCTCAATTGGAAACTAAATGGGAGACATTACAACCAATACCACAGAAATACCAAAGATCACTCAAGGCCACTATGAACACCTTTATGTGCACAAACTAGAAAACCTGGAGGCGATGGATAAATTCCTGGAAATATACATCCCTTCGAGATTAGACCAGGAAGAAACAGAAATTCTGAACAGACCAGTAACAAGCAGCAAGACTGAAACAGTAATTTAAAAATTGCCAACAAAAATTGTCCAGGACCAGAGGGATTCACAGCTGAATTCTATCAGACATTCAAAGAAGAATTGGTACTAATCCTACTGAAACTATTCCAAAAGATAGAGAAAGAAAGAATCCTTCCTAAATCATTCTATGAAGTCAGTATCACCCTAATACCAAAACCAGGAAAGGACATAACAAAAAAAGAAAACTACAGACCAATATCCCTGATGAACATAGATGCAAAAATCTTCAACAAAATACTAGCTAACGGAATCCAACAGCACATAAAAAAGATAATACACTTGGGTTTCATACCAGGGATGAAGGTTCAACACACACAAGTTAACAAATGTGATATACCCCATAAACAGCATTAAAAAGAAAAATCATATGATCATCTCAATAGATGCAGAAGAAGCATTTGACAAAATCCAGGATCCCTTTACGATTAAAACCCTCAGCAAAATCGGCATAGAAGGGACAATAAAAGCCATTCATGACAAACCCACAGCCAACATTATACTGAAAAGGGAGAAGTTGAAGGCATTTTAGAACTGGAAAAAGACAAGGATGCTCACTTTCACCACTGCTCTGGAGTCCTAGCCAGAGCAATCAGACAAGAGAAGAAATAGAGGGCATCCAAATCAGTAAAGAGGAAAAACAGTCCCTGTCTGCTGATGACAGGATCGTTTACCTACAAAACCCTGGAGACTCATCCAGAAAGCTCCTACATCTGATCGATGAATTCAGTAAAGTTTCAGGACACGAAATCAACATACACAAATCAGTAGCACTGCTATACCCCAAAAGTGACCAAGCTGAGAACCAAATGAAGAACTCAACACCTTTTACGATGGCTGCAAAAAATAAAATAAAATACTTAGGAATATTCCTAACCAAGGAGGCGAAAAATCTCTACAAGGGAAACCACAAAACACTGCTGAAAGAAATCGCTGGCTGCGCACGGTGGCTCACACCTGCAATCCCAGCACTTTGGGAGGCCGAGGCAGGCGGATCACGAGGTCAAGAGATTGAGACCATCTGCTGAAACTCCGTCTCTACTAAAAATACAAAAATTAGCTGGGCGTGGTGGCACATGCCTGTATTCCCAACTACTCTGGAAGCTGAGGTAGAAGAATCACTTGAACCCGGGAGGCGGAGGTTGCAGTGAGCCGAGATCATGCCATTGCATTCCAGCCTGGGCAACAAGAGCAAAACTCCGTCTCAAAAAAAAAAGAAAAAAAAAAAAGAAAGAATTGATGACACAAACAGATAAAAAACACATCCAGGTTGGTATGGATGCAGTGAAAACAGAAAACCTTTGCACTGCTGGTGGGAACGTAAACTAGTACAATCACTATAAAAATACAGTATGGAGACCAGGCACAGTGGCTCACGCCTGTAATCACAGCACTTTGGGAGGGCGAGGGGGGCAGATCACCTGAGGTCAGGAGTTCAAGACCAGCCTGGGCGACATGGTGAAACCCTGTCTCTACTAAAAATACAAAAATTAGCTGGCCGCAGTTGTGCACGCCTGTAATCCCAGCTACTTAGGAGGCTGAGGCAGGAGAATCACTTAAGCCTAGGAGGCAGAGGTTGCAGTGAGCCAAGATTGCACCATTGCACTCCAGCCTGGCCAACATGGCAAAACCCCATCTCTACTAAAAATAAAAAATTAGTCAGGCATGGCGGTGCATGCCTATAATCCCAGCTCCTCAGGAGGCTGAGGCATGAGAATCACTTGAACCTGGGAGGCAGAGGTTGCAATGAGCCGAATTTGCATCACCACACTCGAGGCTGGGCAACAGAGCGGGACTCCATCTCAAAAAAAAAAAAATAAGTAAAAAGCATGTAAAGCAGGAGCATCACTTGAGGCCAGAAGTTTGAGACCAGCCTAGTGAATGTAACAAGACTCCATCTCTACAAAATATTTAAAAATTTGCCAGGCATGGTGGTGCATGCCTGTGTTCCCAGCTACTCAGGAGGCTGAGTAGAAAGACTGCTTGAGCCCAGGGGTGGAGAGTGCAGTAAGCTACGATTGTGCCACTTACTGCAGCATGGGCAACAGGGTAAGACCCCGTCTCAAAATTAAAAAACAAAACAAAACACGTCCAGGAGGCCAGGTGTGGAGGCTCATACCTATAATCCCAGCACTTTGGGAGGCCGAGGCAGGAGAATGGCTTGAGACCAGCAGTTAGAGCCTACCCTGGTCAATATAGTGAGATCCCATCTCTACAAAAAAATTTAAAAATATTCCCTGCCTTACTAGACGTGAGAAAAAATAAAATAAAAAATAAAAATTATATTAAAACGTGTCTAGGGAAAGGGATATTTTTGGAAGACTGATCAGATGAAAATGTGGCACTGAACTTGAAGGGACTCCCACGAGCCATAACACAGACTTCTCACAAAAGTAACACAAACACCTCACTAAAAAAGACCAGACAATGTGCTACTCCAAGCGGAATAACGGACATATGGAAAACAGAAAACATTCAAGGAACCAAAAAAAGATCCTGAGAAGTGGCACCCACGGCAGACCCAAAATAATAGTGATCCAAATCAACCCGAGCAACACATTCCATTCAAAGTGGATGGGCTGGCCAGGCGCGGTGACTCATGCCTGTAACCCCCTCACTTTGGGAGGCCAAGGTGGGCAGATCACTTGAGGTCAGGAGCTCAAGACCAGCCTGGCCAACATGGGGAAACCCATCTCTACTAAAAATACAAAAATCAGCCGGATATGGTGGCACACGTCTGTAATTCCAGCTACTCAGGAGGCTGAGGCATGAGAATCTCTTGAACCTGGGAGGCAGAGGTTGCAGTGAGCTGAGATGGCACCACTGCACTCCAGCCTGGGCTACAGAGTGAGACTTCGTCTCAAGAGTTCGAGACCAGCCTGGCCAACATGGCAAAACCCCGTCTCTACTAAAAAAAAATACAAAAATTAGCCCAGCATGGTGGCGGGCACCTGTAATCCCAGCTACTTGGGAGGCTGAGGTAGGAGAATCACTTGAACCTGGGAGGTGAAGGTTGCAGTGAGCCGAGATCACACCATTACACTCCAGTCTGGGCAACAGAGAAAGACTCCATCTCAATAAAAAACAAAGTGGATAGGCTCACTGCACCTCCAAATACCAGGCCAAAGTGGAGACCAATTCACTCACAAAAAAAGATGTACAGTTAAAATAAGTTTGAAAATATCTCTAGGAAACAAAAAATTATGCAGAATAACAACCAATTTTAAAGAATCCAAATAGAACTAAAAACAGCAAGAACAAAATTAACAACTCTGGACGTATTTAACAGCAGATTATATACAGATGAACAGAGGTTTAGAAAAATGGGAGATAACACAGATAAAACGATCCAGCCTACGGCCAAGAGCAAAAAGAAGGCAAGCACAAAAGTGGGCTGAGCTATACGTATGTGATATGATTGGGCTGTGTCCCCACCCAAATCTCATCTTGACTTGTAGCTCCCACAATTCCCACGTGTCATGGGAGGGGCCCAGTGGGAGGTAACTGAATCATGGGGGCGGGTCTTTCCCGTGCTTGTCTCCTGAGAGTGAATAAGTCTCACTAGATCCGATGGTTTTATAAAGAGGAGTTCCTCTGCACAAGTTCTCTCTCTTTGCCTTCCACCATCCACCTAAGATGTGACTTGGTCCTCCTTGCCTTCCACCATGACTGTGAGGCCTCCCCAGCCACGTGGAACTGTGAGTCCATTAAACCTCTCTTCCTTAATTACCCAGTCTTGGGTATGCCTTTATTAGCAGCATGAGAATGGACAAATACGGTATGCAAGAGAACTCTAAAACTTAATGGAGAGAAAGAACAGGTAGAAGGTATGATGGAGATACTGGTTAGGATTTGAGGCAACAGATGAGAAAAGCATCATCCACACATTGAAGAAAACCCTAGATCCCAAGCAGAATCAAAGACATCATAAAAAGCCATACCTGGTGTGATAGTTAACATTGTCAACTTGATTGGATTGAAGGATACAAAGTATTGTCCCTGAATGTGTCTGTGAGGGTGTTGCCAAAGGAGATTAAAATTTGAGTCAATGGACTGGGAAAGGCAGATCCACCCTCAATCTGGGTTGCCACCATCTAATCAGCTGCCAGTGTGGCCAAAATAAAACCAGGCAGAAGAGCGTGGAAGGACTAGACTAGACTGGTTAGCCCTCTGGCCTCCATCTTTCTCCCATGCTGGATGCTTCCTGCCCTCAAACATCAGACTCCAAGTTCTTCAGCTTTCGGACTCAGACTGGCTTCCTTGCTCCTCAGCCTGCAGATGGCTTACTGTGGGACCTCACCTTGTGATTATGTGACTCGATGCTCCTTAATAAACTCCCCTTTATATGTCTATCTATCCTTTTAGTTCTGTCCCTCTAAAGAACACATAAAATCAAAACTGCAGAACACCAAAGACAAAAGCCTTCAGGGTGGCCACGGCAGTGAACACAAGCTAGAGAGGGGCAGAGCGAAACCACCGGCAAGCAAGACACCAACTGCCAACTATATGTCTACGCCAGCCAGGCTTTCAAGAAGGGAAATAAAAACAGGCCAGGCACAGTTGTTCACACCAGTAATCCCAGCACTTTGGGAGGCCGAGGTGAGCAGATCACCTGAGATCATGAGTTCGAGATCAGCCTGGCCAACATGGTAAAACTATCCCTACTAAAAATACAAAAATTAGGCCGGGTGCGGTGGCTCACGCCTGTAATCCCAGCACTTTGGGAGGCCGAGGCGGGTGGATCATTTGAGGTCAGGAGTTCGAGACCAGCCTGGCCAACATGGTGAAACCCCGTCTCTACTAGAAATACAAAAATTAGCCAAGTGATAGTGGCATGCACCTGTAATCCCAGGTACTCGGGAGGCTGAGGCGGGAGAACCCCTTGAGCCTGGGAGGCAGAGGTTGCAGTGAGCTGAGAATGGGCCACTGCACTCTAGGCTGGGCGAGTGAGAGACCCTGTCTCAAAATAAATAAATAAATAAATACAAAAATTAGCCAGGCATGGTGGTGCACACCTGTAATCCCAGCTACTCGGGAGGCTGAAGCAGGAGAATCGCTTGAGCCCAGGAGGCAGAGGTTATAGTGAGCCGAGATCACCGCTCCAGCCTGGGCGACAAGAGTGCAAGAGCAAAACTCCGTCTCAAAAAAAAAAAAAAAAAGACACATTCATTATTCATATTCACAAAAAAGCTAGAAGAAAGATGTCCCTCACCAGGTGAGTGGATAAACAAACTGTGTACCATGCACACAATGAAGTACTAACCAGCATCAAAAAGGAATGAGCTACTGATCAATCTAAAGCTTGGATGAATCTTCAACTCATTTTGCTAAGTGATTTAAAAACCTGGACCCAAAAGCCTACATATTATAGAATTCCATCTGTAGAACATTCTGGAAAAGGCAAAACCATAGAACAAAAAACAGACCACTGGTTGCCAGAGGCTGGGGAAGGAGAGAGCGGCTGGTTAGAAAGAGGACACGGGCCCTCTTGGGGGCTGGGGTTGTTCTCGAGGGTAACTGGGTGGTGAATATGACTCTACACAATTGTGCATCACAAAGAATGAACTTAGAAGCATGCAAATTTTAGGGTGGGCGAGGTGGCTCACACCTGTAATCCCAGCATTTTGGAGGCCGAGGCAGGAGGATCACTTGAGCCCAAGAGTTCAAGACCAGTCCTGTCAACACAGTGAGACCCTGTCTCTACAAAAAAATAAAAACAAAACTTAGCCAGGTGTGGTGGAACGTGCCTGTAATCCCAGCTACTTGGGAGGCTGAGGTGGGAGGACTGCCTAAGCCTAGGAGTTCAAGGCTGTAGTGAGCCAAGATTGTACCGCTGCACTACAGCCTGGACAACAGAGCAAGACACTGTCTCAAAAAAAACAGTCTGCGCGGTGGCTCATGCCTGTAATCCTAGCACTTTGGGAGGCCGAGGTGGGGGCGGATCACCTGAGGTTGGGAGTTCAAGATCAGCCTGACCAACATGGTGAAACCCCATCTCTACTAAAAATACAAAACTAGCCAGGCGTGGTGGCGCATGCCTGTAATCCCAGCAACTCGGGAGGCTGAGGTAGGAGAATCGCTTGAATCCGGGAAGCGGAGATTGCGGAGAGCCGAGATCGCGCCACTGCACTCCAGCCTGGGCAACAAGAGCGAAACTCCATCTCAAAAAACAAAACAAAACAGTATGCAACTTTAAAAAATTGACCAGGATGTTGTGGGATCCCAGGATAGGAAGTAGCCAGTGACCAATGAACCTGACTACATACTCACCAGTGAAGACACAACCTTAGTGAAGGGCTGGGGAAGAGAGGAGTGACCTGAGTAACCTTGGAAAACAGTTGTGACTGGAAACTGAAAATGGAGACAAAGGAGCTGTAAACAAACACTTAAATCCACTTGGTAAATTTGTTTCTTATATGATGTGGGTTGCTAATTCTGAAACTATTATACACTTACAGGAGAGTTGAACAAATAAGTAAATAAATGGGGCCGGGCGTGGTGGCCCACACCTGTAATCCCAGCACTTTGGGGGGTTGAGGCGGGTGGATCATCTGAGGTCAGGAGTTGGAGACCAGCCTGACCAACATGGTGAAACCCCAATTAGCCAGGCATGGTGGCAGCACTTGTAATCGCAGCTACTAGAGAGGCTGAGGCAGGAGAATCACTTGAGCCCAGGAGGCAGAGGCTGCAGCAAGCCGAGATCCTGCCACTGCACTCCAGCCTGGGCAACAGAGCGAGACTGTCTCAAAAAAACAAACAAACAAACAAACAAACAAAAAAAACAACCTTCTAATTTTTTTTTTTAAAGTAAATAAATGGCAGAAGTGAGAGCCAGGCTTCTCACTATCCGAGAAGGAAACTGCAAATAAACCTGGGGGGGAGGGCAGAATGAACTCTGTGGTGCTGGATTAGGCTCTGAGGTATCAGTATGTATTCCTATTTAACATATATGTCTATAAATACAAATGAACATAAATACAGCTATGAGTGTACACACAGACTAGCTCCCAGGCACACCCTTCCTCACTCTGTCCACGGAGAGAGCCCAGAAGCAGCAGCAACATCCCAGCAGGAGTGAGCACACCTAGAGCCCAGGTCTTGGTCTCAACACCATAATCTAGTAAAAGGCACCAAGACTCCTTGGAGAAACAGCGGACTCAGAACGGAGACAGGGCCTACACGATGAGCCTGCGGCACCAACTTGCAGTGTCACAAGCCAGGATGTGCTTCAAACACATGACACAGGAGCCACCTGAAGGGGCTCCCCACGGACAGAGCTGCAACAACTTAAGAATCAAAATGTTGAGGCTACACTAAGCTGTGATGGCACCACCATACTCCAGCCCAGGGGACAGAATGAGACCCGGTCCCAAGAAGTCAATAAATAAATGAAGAGTGGGTTTTATAGAACCCACCAGAGACTGTGCTTCCAGGCCTCACCTAGGAGTTAGATCTTTCCTGCAATAATGCAGATTAAAAACTAAACTTGGCCTGCATAGTGGCTCACGCCTGTAATCCCAGCACTTGGGGAGGCCAAGGCAGGAGGATCACCTGAGGTCAGGAGTTCGAGACCAGTCTGACCAATATGATGAAACCCCTTCTCTACTAAAAATATAAAAATTAGCCAGGCGTGGTGGCATGCTCCTGTAATCCCAGCTACTTGGGAGGCTGAGGCAGAAGAACCACTTGAACCTGGGAGGCGGAGGTTGCAGTGAGCCGAGATCGCGCCACTGCACTCCAGCCTGGGCAAGAGCAAAACTCCATCTCAAAAAACAAACAATTTGCCGGCCAAGTGCAGTGGCTTACGCCTGTAATCCCAACACTTCAGGAGGCTGAGACGAGCAGATCACTTGAGGTCAGCACCAGCCTGACCAACATGAGGAAACCCTGTCTCTACTAAAAATACAATAATTAGCCAGGCATGGTGGTGGGTGCTTATAATCACAGCTACTTGGGAGGCTGAGGCAGGAGAATCGCTTGAACCCAGGAGGCGGAGGTTACAGTAAGCCAAGATCGCACCACCAGCCTGGGCAATAGAGCAAGACTCCGTCTCTATTTAAAAAAAAAAAAAAAACCCCAAAAACCAAAAAACAACCAAACTTGCCTAAAGCAGTGTGAACTGAGTCTAGCTAGAATCAAATGGCTAAAATAGAGGCTTTTTTTTTTGTGAGATGGAATCTCGGTCTGTCTCCCAGGCTGAAGTGCAGTGGCACCCAGCTAATTTTGTATTTTTAGTAGAGAGGGGTTTCACCATATTGGCCAGGCTGGTCTAAAATTCCTGACCTCGTGATCCGCCCACCTCGGCCTCCCAAAGTGCTGGGATTACAGGCGTGAGCCACCGTGCCCAGCCTAAAATATATGCTTTTAACATAACACTTCAAAAGTAGTCAATTCCAAACTTAATGTTTTCCTCCACATGCTAACAAAAAACATGTCAATAAAATAAAGGTAATCAACTCAACACGTATGGAATTCATCCCACCAGGAACGTGGCAGAAACCAGGGACATGCAGACTGACCACAGCCTCCCTGCCCTGCCAGGCTCTCAACTGGCACAGGACTTCCAGTCACAAACTGATGATGTGAGAAACGAGGTACCAGGCCTAAGAAACAGGCTGAACAGACAGGTGAGTCAATCGACAAGGGCAACTAGAATAAAGGGAATTCATGACATTCCTCAAACTTATGAAGGGTGGCTTCTCTTCAATGTCCCATGGGAAAAACAAAAAAGGAAGATCACAAGGGAGGCAGATTTGAGCTCAGGGAGAAGGGTATGAAGAGAGGCTTCCCATTCACAGGCAACACTAAGAACGTGCAGGCGGCAGCACGTGGGGCCTACAGGGTGAGCCTCTGCCTCCAGCTCTCTATGCTTCCAGTTTCCACTTCTAAAGAGAGGCCCTGCAGAGATGGAAGGTCCTCTCACTGGTTTGGATTTCTACAACATAAAGAAATCTTTTGACAAAGAATACACCTTAACAGAGAACTTAAAGAATACCTTTGTGAACATCCCACGCTGTTCTGCTGGGTGGTCACTGATTGTGAAGATCCCACGCTGTTCTGGTGTGTGGTCACTGACTGTGAACATCCCACGCTGTTCCGGTTGGTGGTCACTGATTGTGAACATCCCACGCTGTTCTGGTGGGTGGTCACTGACTGTGAACATCCCATGCTGTTCTGGTGGGTGGTCACTGACTGTGAACATCCCACGCTGTTCTGGTGGGTGGTCACCGACTGTGAACATCCCATGCTGTTCTGGTGGGTGGTCACTGACTGTGAACATCCCACACTGCTCTGGAGGATGGTCATTGACTTGCTTCTGCTGCAGCTGTTCCAAGTCCTCTCTCTTCTCTCCATCACAGTCCTCCGGCTAAGAAGGGGAGGACCAGAAAGAAGCATTTAAAGCAAGGTCTAGGGCTGCAGCCTCAGGCCCTTCCCAGCTCCTCTATCTGCAGGCCTGTGCTGACTTCATTTAACAAGTAGAGCTCACTTCCACCTGTTCAGAACGTGCACCTTCCGCATTAACAATTCCCAAGCTCTAAACATTTTTTTTTTTTTTTTTGAGACGGAGTCTTGCTCTGTCGCCCAGGCTGGAGTGCAGTGGCACAATCTCAGCTCACTGCAATCTCCGCCTCCTGGGTTCACGCCATTCCCCTGCCTCAGCCTCCCTAGTAGCTGGGACTATGGGTGCCCGCCACCACGCCCAGCTAATTTTTGTATTTTTAGTAGAGACAGGGTTTCACCATGTTAGCCAAGATGGTCTTGATCTCCTGACCTCGTGATCCGCCCGCCTTGGCCTCCCAAAGTGCTGGGATTACAGGCATGAGCCACCACACCTGGCCAGCTCTAAACATTTTTATAATGCAAGTAATTTCCCTAATGATGTTCCTGCCCCTCTTCTTAATGAATTCTACTTTTTTTTTTTTTTTTGAGACGGAGTCTTGCTCTGTTGCCAGGCTGCAATGCAGTTGCACGAACTCGGCTCACTGAAACCTCCACCTCCTGGGTTCAAGTGATTCTCCTGTCTCAACCTCCCGGGGGTTTCACCATGTTGGCCAGACTGGTCTTGAACTCCTGACCTCAGGTGATCCACCCGCCTCGGCCTCCCCAAGTGCTGGGATTACAGGTGTGAGTAACCGTGCCCAGCCTGTAATTTTTTTTTTTTTTTGAGACAAAGTTTCACTCCGTCGCCCAGGCTGGTGGCATGACCTCGGCTCACTGCAACCTCCGCCTCCGGGTTCAAACAATTCTCCTGCCTCAGCCTCCCGAGTAGCTGGGACTACAGGCGCATGCCACCACGCCCGGCTAATTTTTTTTTTCTTTTTTGTCTTTTTTGAGACGAAGTCTCACTCTGTCACCCAGGCTGGAGTGCAGTGGCACAATCTCAGCTCACTGTAAGCTCTGCCTCCCGGGTTCACGCCATTCTCCTGCCTCAGCCTCCTGAGTAGCTGGGACTACAGGCGCGTGCCACCATGCCCAGCTAATTTTTGTATTTTTAGTAGAATCGGGGTTTCACCATGTTGACCAGGATGGTCTCAATCTCTTGACCTTGTGATCTGCCCAACTCGGCCTCCCAAAGTGCTGGGATTACAGGTGTGAGTCACTGCGCCCGGCCATGAATTCTACTTTAAAAAAGAAATTTAATTAATTTTTTGAGACAAGGTCTTGCTCTGTCACCCAGGCTGGCGTGCAGTGGTGCAATCCCAGCTCACTGCAACCTTAACCTCCTGGGCTCAAGTGATCCTCCTGCCTCAGCCACCTGAGTAGCTGGAACTACTGGCATGCGCCACTGTGCCCAGCTTATTTTTTATTTTTTTGTAGAGACAGGGTCTCTGTTCATTATGTTCCAAAGCTGGCCTCAAAATCCTGGGCTCAAGCAATCCTCCCACCTCAGCATCCCAAAATGCTGGCAATACAGGCATGAGCCACAGTGCCCAGATTAGCTTGCTTTAACAAGATGATTCACTAAGAACATTTCAATTTCTTCCCAAAATAGCAAAGAAACATGACAGTGTCGACTTTTCGGGATCATTAGATGAGTCACAAGATGAATGCAGAGAGAGAGCACCCATGGCCAATGATGATGGCAAAACTGACGTGAAAATAAAATCTCAGACAAGTCTTCATTTGACAATACCCTAGATCAATCTTCTCAGAATCAAGAGGAAGTGAGGGACGAAAAGGGGACACAGTAGTCTCAATCAGCTGCCCGCTCACATGAATGATCACACTTCAAAGGAACCTGGACCATCCACTTCCTTAAGAGGACACTTCTAATGTTTGTGTGTCAAAACTTACTTGATACAAAGAGGTTGGATCAAATTTCTTATAAAGTTGTTTTAAATTATTGCTTTATTCTTACTTCTGTAAATTACGTGTAAAACAACTTAAAATGACAAAACAGTAAAACGGCCCAGAAATCTAGATGATAAATGGTGATAACTATTTTTCCTGGTATTTGATACAAATATGAGTTGGAAAAGTGCTAGAACCACACTTCTTAAGCCTTCTATAGCACTAGTTAAATCTTCTTCAGCCAAAGTTTTTGTATTTTCTTCTGAAATTCTTGACCTCTGAGCAATTTTTGGATGGTTCTCTTTTTTTTGGAGATAAAGTCTCGCTCTTGTCCTCCAGGCTGGAGTGCAATGGCGCGATCTCGGCTCAGTGCAACCTCTGCCTCCCGGGTTCAAGTGATTCTCCTGCCTCAGCCTCCCGAGTACCTGGGATTACAGGCGCCTGCCATGAGACCCGGCTAATTTTTGTATTTTTAGTAGAGATGGGGTTTCACCACGTTGGCCAGGCTGGTCTCGAACTCCTGACCTCAGGTGATCTTCCTGCCTTGGCCTCCCAAAGTGCTGGGATTACAGGCATGAGCCAATGCGTCCCGCCAGATGGTTCTTTTACCAAAAAATGGCCTCTCCTCACTTTGTTCCTCATCTGTAACTGAAAGGTCAAATTCTGCTTTCTACCATTGCTTTATTTTTATGATTTTTTTTTTTTTGAGACAAGGCCTTGCTCTGCCGCCCAGGCTGGCGTGCAGTGGTGCCACCATAGCTCACTGTAGCCTCAAACTCCTGGGCGCAGGTGATCCTCCCAACTCAGCCTCCTGAGTAACTGGGACTACACGTGTGCACTGTCATGCCCAGCTAATTTTTATATTTTTCATAGAGACAGAGTTTCAACCATCCTCCCACGTTGGCCTCCCAAAGTGCTCGGAGCCACCATGCCTGACCTTGCTTTCTGCCATTTCTGAGTTAACTTTCAGAACTGAGACAGCTGTTGCATTGTTTCAACTATTTTTCCATCATGCACTTAACAAATTGTAAGGCAACAGAGCCGAATCCTGAATATTTACCACAAAGTCTTTCTGCAATTCTACCTTCGCTTATAACCATCCTGAAAAAAAACTAAGATCTTAAAGTTGGTTAAAAATATGTCTTATATCAGCTGGGCACAGCGGCTTATGCCTGTAATCCCAGCACTTTGGGAGGCCGAGGTGGGAGGATCACCTGAGTCAGGGAGGTCAAGGCTGAAGTAAGCTGATTGGGCCACTGCACTCCAGCCTGGGCGCCAGAGGGAGGACCTGTCTCCAAAAAAAAGAAAAAAGACTTATGCTAGAAATCATCAGTATTTACCTAACAGTTAGTGATCAAAGTAAGCAATTTATTATATGTTGGAAAGCACAATAACTTCTCCCTCCCCCTCACACACACATACACACACTCTCACACACACACAAACACACACACTTATCTTCTTATGCTGTTCAATAAGCTCACTAGACTCTCCATAGCCAAACCTCTCACAATTTATAGATGGGTAAAATAAAACAAATGCACCTTTCATTATGTTTAAAGCACTGGTACAACTATAACATAAAGGTTCCTTGAGGATTCCTGATCTCCGACGCAGCATGACCAACCATCTGAGAGGGGAGTGCCCTGGCCTGGGACATTATTCGGCCACACGGCCACCAGCTGCTAGCTTTAAACAGTGGACTCTTTCCTAGAATTTCACTTTTCAGAAGATCATTATTTTGAACACAAAATTACTCCTATTTTAACATCTACAACTGGATTAAAGGCATACTAAACTCAAATATCATGAAATATTTTATAATACATATGAAAAAAACTCCTTTTTAGACTGAACTGATGATGTACAATGATATAATCAGAAAAAAGTTAATGAAATATCTGCTTCTAAAGCACCAATGGTTTTTATATACATAATTGACAAAATGGCTTAAGAAATTTGATTCCTAACTTAGTGTACAGCAGAAAGACAATGGCTCTATTCTACACATACTACTTAGTTTACCTATACATGTATAAAGAAAATAAATTTTAGCCAGGTGGGATGGCTCACACCTATAATTCCAGCACTTTGGGAGGCCGAGGTGGGAGAATTACTTGAGCACAGGAGTTTGAGACCAGCCCTGACAACACAGTGTAACACTGTCTCTACAAATTTTTTTTTAAGTTAGCCAGGTATGGTGGCACATGCCTGTAGTCCCAGGTACTAGGGAGGCTGAGGCAGGAGGGTCACTTGAGGCCAGGAGGTCAAGGCTGGAATGAGCCATGATTGCGCCACTGCACTCCAGCCTGGTCAAGAAAACAAGACCCTATCTCAAAAAAAAGGGGGAAAAAGCTGATGTCCAAGATCCAATAGGGGTTAATACCTGATGACTGCATGTTTAGCTTATTAAAATGTCAGGAATTCTGTGGAAAAAGCTGACTGGTACCTGACCTTTGCCCACCATTTTAGAGCCAATGGACAGGAAGAGGAGGTATGTCTCTGCTGATGTCAAGCTGTAACTGTGCAGAGGAGTTCAGGATGACGATGTGAGATGAAAATCAGTCAGGCCCTGCCATGCCTTCATTCCATGAAGAATCCTGGCTGCAGGAGCACATACTTTTCCTAGAGAAAGTATCCTTACATTTTACCAGCTTTTGGTTTTTAAAATACTGCTTTAAACAGTTAAGTTACTACTCACAGCAACAGTTATAAGTAACAGAATGCTTTACCTTGGCCATCTTGCCATTGTTTCACCAAGTTTTGTGAAAGCAGACCTCTCCTCACATCTGCCACACCACCCCACGCTTGAGGGTGAAGTGTCCTGTCCACTGTGGTCACGAGGAGGTGACACAAAATGCAGCAAGTGCAGTGAGTGTGCGTGTGCATCTCTAAGTCAAGGGGACCAGTAATGGGCCTGTTATTTATAGATTGCTTTAAGATGTCCAAAATACATGTTTTATTAGTGGTATAGTTAATTCTAAAATGAAAAAAAATGTTATATAAGTAACCTAATGTGTTTATTGTAGGAAATACCAAAAACCATAACAACGAAAAAACCAACAACTCTATTCCTTTCTGACCACCACTGTTAATTTTCTGGTATATGCCCTTCTGGTTTTGAAAACAAAAATCAAAATGCTTTTCATCAGATCATCTTCCTGAATGAAGGCATGCATCAAATAGCAGAGTTAGAAACTAAGAGAGTCTCTACCTGATGAAACAGCAAAGTATGAGTGTTTAATCAGGAGTCTATACCATGCCTTCTAATGTTAACGACCCATCAGTCTCCAAATACAATTTACCACAAAATGTGCTAAGTTTGGAATGGTTTTCTGATAGGATCCTGAGATTCCCACATATATTTATCAGCTTACTACTTTTAAAACGTCTATGCAGGCCAGGCACAGTGGCTCACGCCTGTAATCCCCACACTTTGGGAGGCCGAGGCAGGTGGATCACGAGGTCAGGAGTTCGAGACCAGCCTGGCCAATGTGGTGAAACCCCATCTCAACCAAACAAATACAAAAATTAGCCGGCCATGGTGGTGCCCACTTGTAATCCCAGCTACTCGGGAGGCTGATGCAGGAGAAACGCTTGAAATCGGGAGGCAGAGGTTGCAGGAAGCAGAGGGCGTGCCGCTGCACTCCAGCCTGGATGACAGAGTGAGACTTCGCCTTAAAGAAAAAAAAAAAGTATGTGCAACCAGAGGGCCGGGTGCAGTGGCTCACGCCTGTAATCCCAGCACTTTGGGAGGCCAAGGTGGGTGGATTGCTTGAGGTCAGGAGTTGAAGACCAGCCTGACCAACATGGTGAAACCCTGTCTCTACTAAAAATACAAAAATTAGCTGGGTTTGGTGGCAGGCGCCTGCAATCCCAGCTACACGGGAGGCTGACGCAGGAAAATCGCTTGAACCCAGGAGGCAGAGGTTACAGTGAGCCAGGACTGCACCACTGCACTCCAGCCTGGGCAAAAGAGTGAGACTCCATTTCAAAAAAAACCAAAAAACATATGCAACCAGAATATATCAAAAGTAACTTTCTGCCCAGCAAGGTGGCAGAAATCCTGTAATCCTGGCACTTTGGGAGCCTGAGGCAGGAAGATCGCTTCAGCCTGGGAGGCAGAGGTTGCACTGAGCAGAGTTCGCGTCACTGCGCTCCAGCCTGGGCAACAGAGAGACTGTATCTTAAAAAGAAAACGGGAAAAAAAAAAAAAACACACCAACCCAACAACCAAAAACACTCAAGAGATAAAAAGCAAAATTCAGGATTTGTAGGTAGAATAACACAAATTTTAACTGTTGCCAACAACTCAATTTTTTAAGTAAAGCAGGATACATACATTATGACCTTGAGCCAGATTCTGCCTTTGGCCACCAGTTTTCCAGCAAATCCTAGCAAACATCAAAGCCTGCACCCATTCTGCTGCAGCAGCAGGGACACTCAACACCTAAGGCCCTCGTTCATAATTCATACAAAAGGCCCAAGGACAGCCCGCCTCCAGGCAGGTTTGTAGGCCCCCAAGGAGCCCGGAAGGCCAGCCCCTTCAGGACTCAGTGTGCACTCACCTGCCACACCTGCCCATGGGGGTGCCCCTGCAGCTCACAAGGCCTCAAGCAGCAGACCCAGTCTCCTCCAGCAACACACCATGTCTGCAACACCTTCACCCCTTCCCTCTTCATCTCACGTTTAGTAAAAAGGTAAAAGACAAATGTGACAAGCAGGTGCATTTACAACTATGTGAAGGAATATTATGTTTTAAATGTCCCAAGAAACACCCATCAAAGGGGCTGACACGACCACACACGAAGAACTCCCAGTCTTCCATTACAAAGCAAACAACTGACACTTGTCTTCAAGTAGTTAATCCAAAACTTCTCAAAATTACATAATAAAGATAAAACAGGGCCAGGCGCAGTGGCTCATGCCTATAATCCCAACACTTTAAGAGGCTGAGGAGGGAGGATCACTTGAGCCCAGGGGTTTGAGGCTGCAGTGACCTGTGATCACACCACTGCACTCCAGGCTGGGCAACACAGCAAAACACTGTCTGGAACAAACAAAAGAAAAAAAAAGAAAAAGAAAACCCAAATTTATTAAGAATAAAACCATAGGCCGGGCACGGTGGCTCATGCCTATAATCCCAGCACTTTGGGAGGCCGAGGCGGGCAGATCACGAGGTCAGGAGATTGAGACCATCCTGGCTAACACAGTGAAACCCCACCTCTATTAAAAATACAAAAACTAGCCGGGCGTGGTGGCGGGCGCCTGTAGTCCCAGCTACTTGGGAGGCTGAGGCAGGAGAATGGCATGAACCCGGGAGGCGGAGCTTGCAGTGAGCCGAGATCGCGCCACTGCACTCCAGCCTGGGAGACAGAGCGAGAATCCATCTCAAAAAAATAAAAAATAAAATAAAAAGAATAAAACCATAAAAATTTACTCACTGTTTTTTTTTTTTTGAGAGAGAGTCTCGCTCTGTCACCCAGTCTGGAGTGCATTGGCGTGATCTCGGCTCAATGCAACCTCTGCCTCACAAGTTGAAGCTATTCTCCTCCCTCAACCTCCCGAGTAGCTGGGATTACAGGTGTGCGCCAGATGTCCGGCTAATTTTTGTATTTTTAGTATAGACAGGGTTTCTCCATGTTGGCCAGGCTGGTCTGGAACTCCTGACCTCAGGTGATCCGCCTGCCTCGGCCTCCCAAAGTGCGGGGATTACAGGCGTAAGCCACTGCACCCGGCCCTCACTTTTTATAAACTAAAATAACACCCTCTTTCCTCACTTTTGAAAGGCAAAAACAGACCAAAGACCATCTTTAGTAAATCACACTAGAAATCACTAGAAGATAAGCGAAATGTTCAAATACAACATTGAGCAAATCTACCTGAGCTGCAAAGGCCCCTCCTGCCCCATCAGGGGTGTCGTCACATGATGTGCTTTTGCAAATGTCCCCTCCTCCACAGAGTGCGCTGTCCTCCTTGGTTACCGGACTCTCCTCCTGGACAGACGCATCGACAGCCGAGCCCTTCCTCTTCGCCGTCTTTTTCTCCGAATGCGAACTGTCACCTTTTGTTTTTCTCTGTCGGAAGTGAGCAAGCTGCGCAAAAATGTAGATAAGTAGTAAAGGCAAAGGTAAGTGAGAAAAAAATAACAGAACCACAAAGTCAACAGACTGGTGGGGACCATGAGGCCCGAGGGCTGACCCAGTCTACTCTGCCACACCTGGCCAACAGATGGCTCTCCACAAACACTGCCTTCATCAATATCTATATCCAAGGGGTCTAACAATGAGGACTGCTAATTATGCCTGGTAAAGAAAACCATACGGCTGATTGGCAGAATAGCTTTCCTAGCCCTTGGCAGTTTACAGAAAAATAAAACTTTAAAAAAAATTTGTATAAAAGATTGATAGCTTAATCAAGGCATATTTAAGTTTTAAAATGATATAAAAGCTAAATCTCTCCCTTCTTGCCCCAATTTTCCCCCAACTGAAGAAATATATAGCCCAGCCAAAACTTCCTAGCCATAGATTCTGAGACAAGATACAGAAATAGCAAAAAATTAATTAAGCCAGGTCAATCTCACATCTTCCTTTATGGAATCAGATGTTCTATTTTTCATGACACAGCTCACCAAAGCACCAGGGACATCCACAGAGCATCGCCCATCAGAAGGCA
Source organism: Homo sapiens (assembly GCF_000001405.40). Lineage (NCBI taxonomy): Eukaryota > Metazoa > Chordata > Mammalia > Primates > Hominidae > Homo > Homo sapiens. The sequence continues at coordinate 46,325,796 of NC_000021.9, read as the reverse complement.
CAGCCTAGCTCTGCTCAGTCCTCAAATCCGAGAGTTTGAGACTATGTGCGAGCCTCATCTCCCGCTAACGTCTTACTCAAGAGGTATGCGATCGATCCCACATCAGCCTTTCACGGGGAGACATCTGTTCCCTCAAAAGACAACTGTGGCCACAAAAACAAACGCATGGAACACACATTTGTGTAAATGATAACACAAGTACACAAGCTCATGGACCCAGAAAAATTACACAAGGCCATTTACACAAGAAAATGGTCTCTCAAGGAAATATTTCCTTCAAAGTCAACCTCATGTCGTTTATTTTCATGTCCTCCTCCACCACACCTATCCATGTCGGGATATAGCACAGACCTGGTCTGCGGCCTGCGTCGCCCTACAGGCGGCGTCTTGTCCCTCCCTCCCCCCTCCACCCTCCTGGGAGCTCTGCTCCTGTTCGCAGCTCCCTGCAGGCTCCGGGCTCCCCTTCCCCTCCTGCCCGCCTCAGCCCTTCCCCGGCCTAGCCCCGCGTCCCCTGTCCGCCGTGCCCGGGAGCCCCGCTCTTCCCCAGCACCCCAGCCAGAACATCCTGGGGGGGAGCGGCGCGCACCTCGCAGAGGCCGGCCTGCTCCCGCGGTTCCGCCTCGCGCTTTCGGGACTCCCTTTCTCCTGCCCCCGAGTCATGGGCTCTGCGCGCTTTATTCCCACGAAACCTAGGACAGTGGCCATCAAACCGAGCGCTTTTTCACGGAGAAACCCGGGGCGGGAGAAAGACGGGAGCGCGTCCCTTGAAGGCGCCCGGCGCCAGCGCCGCGTGGGTTCCCGGCAGCGTACGCCAGGCCCGGACGGGCAGGACGCGAGCCCAAGGGCGCGGGAAGAAGACGGCGGCCGGGAGCGCCGCGGGGGCCTTTCACACAGTAAGGACTGCAACGCCGCGAGAAACGCGCGGGGAAAGCATCTCCGACGGACGAGGCGAAGGCGCACCCTGGGGAGGCGCTGCAGGCCACCCGCGCCACGCCCCCGGCCCCGGCCGCGCAGGAAACTGGCCCTAGACCAAGCAGCCACCCGAATACCGGCCGCCCGCCCCAGGCCACCCGGTCCCGGAGGACGCGGGAGCCACTGGAAGATCCAGCCTGGGGTCCAGCGCCTGCCGCGCCCCACCCCCTCCGTGCAGCCACGCCACGCCCCTGTAGCCCCGCCCTGCAGCCACACCCCGCCCCGGCGTGCACCGCGCCCAGCCCGCGCCCCACCCCCCCCGACGCAGGCGCAGCCCCGCCCCGGCCCGCCCGAGAGGCGCCGCGCGTCCCGGCCGCTGATTGGCTGTGGCCGCGGCGGGGGCGGGACCTGGCGGAGAGCGGCGGATTCAAGATGGCGGCGGCCAGGAGGCGGCTTCCAGCGGAGCCGGCGGGAAAAAGCGAGACCTCCGCGGCGGCTTCCGCCGGACCGCGTCCTCTCCTGGCAGGGGGCGGTGGCGGGCACCGGAGCCGCCCTTAGGACTTCACGCCAGAGCAGCTAGAGAAGAAGCCCCTAATGTTTACCTTCGTCCTCCCGGCCTCCACCTTTCTGCGCCGCTGCTCTTGCTCAACTTCCATCTCCCTCAGACTCCGCGCGGGCCGCCCGGCGGTGACGGGGCTGACACAGAGCAGCCTTCGCTCTATTTACACTCCCTCCCCCGCGCTTGGGCTCGCCCTCCCCCCGCGACAACTGTCACGCAGCCGCGGCCCCGCCCCCGACACGCGCCGCCAATCAGGGGGCTGCGTTTCCGGTCTCGCGCACGCGCGCTCTGGGCGGTGCAGCCTGGGCGGAGCCCCGCCCTTTACGCTCGCCGGCCACAGATTGGTGCGCTCACGTACCCGCCTCCTACGGCAGGACCAGTAAGCGGAAAGCGGAGGCCTGGCGCCCGCTGTGATTGGCCGATTTTAAAATCCCCTGCCAGGCTGGCCGAGCGGCAAAAAGTTCGCGCTGCTGGTCCCGCGCGGGCGGCCCCTGGGCTTTGTGTCCACCAGGACAGCGGGCCGGGCTCCCTGCAGGCGCGGGCGGCGCCGAACGGTGCTCAGCAACCACCCGGACAGGGCCAGGCCGTTTTCTCCCGCTCAGGCATTAGTCGTTGGCTGTGGGCCGCCGCGGGAAGTTGAGGCCTACCACGGAGGAGGCTGCTGAGGTGGATCTCAGGGGATCCGCAAGGGCTCCCTCACCCTTGCCGGGACCCTGGGAACCCGAAACAAAATCCTACGCCACCAGCCCGCCGAATGCGCCCCCTCGGCCGGGGGTCCTGGGTCTTCAGAGAAGAACTCGGCCGAATGCGGTCAGAAAGCCCGCGAACCGCCTGGACCTGCAGGCCCCGCCGCTTGGAGCTCCCGCCTTTCCCGACCGAGCCCGTGTCTGCTCGTGTGTCTCACTGATGTCTTAGGTCTCAAAAAAAAAAGAAAAGAAAAGGTTTTTAGTAGACAGAAGAGAAATGGGGCCGTGGGTTCGTGGTCCCAGGGGGAAACTGACGTCGCATGAGGTCGTCGTCCCTCAGCTTGAGCTCAGCGGAACATAAGCTTGCAGAGGTGGAAACCACGGAAGGTTTGGGTGTCTTGGAGCTCTCTGGACACCGAAGCCCGGACACAGTCCCGGGGTCCGCACCGCCTGTGACCTGTGGCGGGACCGCCGGGGTGGGCGTTTTCTCAGCTGGCGCGCGCGTAGGTGGAACTTGGGAAACTAACTGGAGCGAAGTGGCAAAAAACCAAGACAGGGCCGGTGACCTCGCGCAGGCCGTCCTTAACTGTGGAGTATTCCTTCAGCTAACCCCTTTATTTCATGTGTCCAAGTCTGGTTTCTGGGTTTCTTTGTAGTCCTCCGGGCCTGTTCGTGCGCCTTCACTTGCAAAAGGTTCGTCGTGGAGGGCCGTGTGCTTGTTTGCAGCAGTAACGATGCCCTTCCCGAGCGTGCTGGAGTGGCTCCTCGCTGACGCAAGCTCACCTTGCAGCCTCCTCAGCAACTGCAACTTAAACGCGCCCTCAGGAAGCCCTGGAATCTCGCTCAGAATTTTTTTTCTTTTTTTGAGACAGTCTCGCTGCGACGCCCAGGCTATAGCGCAATGGCGCGATCTCGGCTCCCTGCAACCTCCCTCAGGAAGCCGTGGAAGCTCGACCGCCAGAAACTTCCTTCTCCTGACTCAGGCCACAGTCTTCTGTGTGGTGAGCGGGGTGTCCAGCGGTCTCCTGGTTCCCAGACTCGGAATTGGGTGGTTTGAGCAAACTCTGGGCAGTGGGCTCATTAGAGCAGGGGCCAGGCAGGCAACACAGCCAAGCGAGCAGGGGCTGCACCCACAGGATCACACTTTCCAGGAACAGAGACCCAGACCGCGCCTGAATCTCACAACTGTTACGTGTTACAATACATTTACAACTGTGGGACTGAGGGGATGTGCCCAGGTTTGCCTAGACTGTGTTCCTCAGAACCCCAGAGTCGTTTCTGTGGACATCCTAGAGAGGTTCTGCTAATGTTGGACTTGGGTCTTATTTCAGTTCTTTTTTCTTTTCTTTTTTATAGGCAGGGTCTCAGTCTGTCACACAGGCTAGAGTGCAGTGGTGAGACCACCGCTCATTGCAGCCTCAACTTCCCCGGGCTCAGGTGATTCTCCATGTCAGCCTCCTGAGCAGCTGGAATTACAGGCACACCACCATGCCCAGCTAATTTTTGTATTTTTAGTAGACACAGGGTCTCACTGTGTTGCCCAGGCTGGTCTTGAACTCCTGGGCTCAAGTGATCCACCTGCCTTGGCCTCTCAAAGTGCTGGAGTTACAGGCATGAGCAACCTCGCCCAGCCTCAATTCATTTTAAACTATTAAAAAGCTGTCAAGGCCAGGCAACCACTGCACTCCAACCTGGGTGACAGACTGAGACCCTAACTCAAAAAAAAAAAAAAAAAAAAGCTGCCCAGATAAATTTTGTAGATACTCACCCTCAAGGAGGGAAACGTAACTCCCCTCTCCTTAAGTGTAGACCACACATAGCCACTTCCTCCCAAAGAGTGCAATAAAGAAAAGGAGGGAAAGAGCCACTTTATTGTGGAGAAAACTGGCAGACTCCACCTCAGCCAAGTGACGCAGGTCAGCCTCACAGTTATAGTCGAGGTGACAGTGTGTGTCCCTGATGTGATGGGGTGACAGTGGCACTTCACCCCTAGATGCTTCCTTTCTGTAACCTGCAGTCCCAGTCTAACCAGGAGATAATAGACACATTTTAATTGAGGGACATTCTTCAAAATATCTGCCCAGTACTCTTCGAAACTGTCAAGGTCATCAAAAACGAGGAAAGTCTGAGAAGGAGCCTAAAGACACATAACTCAATGTAATGGGGTGTTCTGATGGATACCACATTAGGGACATGAGGCAAACCTAAGGAAACTGTCAAAGTGTGGACTTCAGTTACTTGTGTCTCAATATTGGTTCATTAATCATAACAAATGGGCCAGGTGCACTGGCTTTCACTCAAAAATTAGCTGGGCATGATGGCACGTACCTGTAGTCCCAGCTACTCGAGAGGCTGAGGCAGAAGAATCGCTTGAAACTGGGAAGCAGAGGTTGCAGTGAGCCAAGATTGCACCATTGCACTCTAGCCTGGGCGTCGCAGCGAGACTCTGTCTCAAAAAAAATATATATATATATAACATATGTAGCACACTAAGGTAAGATGTTAATAAGAGGGGAAGCCACACATGTGGTATGTGGGATCTCCATGTACTATCTTCTCAATTACTCTAAATCTAAAACTGTTCTTAAAAACCCTATTTAAAAAAAAAGTCTGACAAATCCATGCCCTCTGGAGCATGTTATGTATACTACTAGAGATCCCGAGGAGGCAATTCTTAGTGCTTCCCATTCACTTGGCAGTCACAGCTGTGGGCACACAGGCTCAAGTCTCTCCTTAAGTCAGTCAGTATTACAAACCATACATAATAGTATACTTGACCACTGCATAAATGTTATAAACATTCCACATCAAGAGAAAGAGGAGAGGAAAAAAAGTTAACCAGTTCAACGAAAAGGAGAATCTGGCAAGGAAGCATCTCTGATGTGGGCAGAGCCTGCAGCAGCAGATGTGGAGGGCTTCTCACAAGTGACAGCAAGACTGTCTGTAAAACGGCCACTTTGACCTGGTGGTGTTCTGCTCTTTTCATGGCCATAGAGTACTCTGGTAAGGACTGATAGTAAGAGTGTCTTGTTTATGTCTTTATCTGGGTGGGTGCAGTATCTACTGATGAGGAAACATCTGGTCCCTGTTGGCCTGATACCCTTTTTTTTTTTTTTTTTTTTTTTTTGAGGTGGAGTTACACTCTTGTTGCCCAGGATGGAGTGCAGTAGTGGTGCCACCTTGGCTCACTGCAACTTCCGCCTGCCTGGCCCTATCTTATAATTTAAAAGGCATCAGGGGCCAGGTGCTATGGCTCACACCTCTAATCCTAGCACTTTGGGAGGCCAAGACGGCAGATCACTTGAGGTCAGGAGTTCGAGACCAGTCTGGCCAACATGGTGAAACCCCATCTCTACCAAAAATACAAAGATTAACTGGGCGTGGTGGCGTGCACCTGTACTCCCAGCTACTCGGGAGGCTGAGGCAGGAGAATCACTTGAACCCGGGAGGCGGAGGTTGCAGTGAGCTGAGATGGCTCCACCTCTGCACTCCAGCCTGGGCAACGAGCAAAACTCCATCTCAAAAAAAAATACATAAGATGGAGTCCTTTTCTCAGATGAGGTCACTTATATCAAGGGTGCTCTATACAGTTGCTTAACTAAATTAACCTGGTTTTTGTTCTGTGCACACTCAGAGCTGTTTAAATGTCTCCCAAGACTGTCACTGTTAATGACTGTGGACAAGAGCCAGGTTCTTTTATTATCTTGTTTATTTATTTTTTTATTTTTTTTATTTTTTTTCCAGACGGAGGTTTTGCTCTTGTTGCCCAGGCTGGAGTGCTGTGGCGCAATCTTGGGTCACTGCAAACTCTGCCTTCCGATTTCAAGCAATTCTCCTGCCTCAGCCTCCCGAGTAGCTGGGATTACAGGCGCCTACCACGACGCCTGGCTAATTTTTTGTATTTTTAGTAGAGACGGGGTTTCACCATGTTGGCCAGGTTGTCTCGACCTCCTGACCTCGTGATCTGCCTGCCTCAGCCTCCCTAAGTGCTGGGATTACAGGCATGAGCCACCGCACCTGGCCCTTTTTTATTATTTTTTATAGAGATGGGGTCTTGTTGTGTTGTGCCGGCTGGTCTCCAACTCGTGGACTCAAGTGATCCTTCTGCCTTGGCCTCCCAAAGCACTGAGATTACAGGCGTGAGCCAACGCCCAATGGCACTGGGATCTTAAACATGGGGCCAGAGTCTGCTCATGTCCAGCAGCACCAGCGAGGACCCCTGACTGCCATCTGGGAATGTGTGGCACCAGGCAGGTCATGTGACCCTAGCCCACACCCTCCACAGATCTGGAGGGAGGGTAAGGCCTGGTTTCATGCTGACTTCATTTCTGGTTGGATGGCCTCCAGGGTAAGGTGAGTTGAACTCTACGTCAGGAGTAATCCAGCCCCTCCAGGGCCAGCAGGAGTAAGGTGCGCCCCTCCAAGGATCTCCATGAGCTGCCTCTGTGAGCCTGACCTCCTACGGGCTAGCCAGCCTTCACCCAATCACTCACTGGTCCAGCTTCAGGGTCCCTACATGGATGTGGGTTGGAAGACAGGACAGGCACACAACCATAGATACTGATGGACATGGGCCATTTACAGAACTGAGGGCAAGAGAGCAATTTTGGCCACTGAGGCAAGTTCCTGGGTTAGCTGCACCGAGGAGGGTGCTGACCTCTGCCCCTCGGGTCCACAGGTCTGGGCCCCTGCTGCTGACATCCCCCACATGTCAGTCTGCCTGCTAGTGGGATTGACTAACTCATCAACGTGGAGTTTAATGCCCAACCAAGTGCAGACCACGCTCCTGTTTTGCGTCACCCTCTGCGAAGCTTCCTGCAAACTTGACTCCCTGCCCAGTGCCCCCAGCCCCAAGGTGGGACATATCCCCTGGGCACCCCCTCTGGTCCTGCTAAAGCCCAGCCCCTCTGCAGGTCACAACCCCTCCTCTGTCCTACCCCTTCTGCTGCCTGCAATTTCCTGAACTCCTTGGTAGGCAGTCTCCTCACCCTGTCCTCCCAGTGTCTCCCCACCCTGTCTTCCCTGCTTGCTCTGAGGGTCCCTAGGAGGGAGGTATTAACACCCTGGAGGCAGTACACAGGTGGGGCGCCCTCCCCTGACACACAGGTTCTTCTGGACTGGGTCCTGAGGCTGGTGGTGCATAGGGGGTCACGACTGCCCTTCCCCCAGGTCTGAGGGTTCTGCCCCTCTGCCTCAGCTGCTGCCCACTTTTTTGCCTTCCCATGAAGCCCAGCTGGCCACACCTGGGGATGAGTGTTTACCGGTAGCCTGAGGACGCACAGTGGAAACCTGGCAACCTGGGGCCTCCCTGTGTCTGGCAGCCTGGCAACTGTCACGCGGCGCCCAGCGCTGGCTTCTGGGGCACTGCAGTCCAGGGAGGGTGTGGCTATCTTCCCACAGGGCTCTTCTCTTCCCTCAGGCTGGTCTCCAGGAGGTAAGGCCCGCCCTGCAGGCAACACCGGTGCTTGGGCTCCTGCTGAGCAGTTCTTTCCTGCGAGTAACAGAACCAGGGAGGGAGGTGGGCTGTGGCCTCCCCTGCCCCTACAGTCGTCTCCTGCAGCTCCCACCATGCTGGACTCATCAGCAGCAGAGCAAGTGACCCGACTGACGCTGAAGCTCTTGGGACAGGTGAGGCAGAGCCCGGGATGCTCCTGTTTTTAACAACTCGCAGGCTGTGGCGTTGGAGGGACTCTTCGAGACAGCCCTGCAGGTGCAGAATGCAGGGCCCCAAGGGCTAGGCCTGGGGCTGGCAGCCCAGCGGACCCATCCTCAGACTTAGTCTTCACATTCTCTGAGGGTCTGGGTGGCCCATGACCGACCTGCCTGTCCTCGCAGGCCACTGAGCACAGGGTCTGGGGAGCCTCGGTGCCTGGGGGCACCTCTGCACCCCCTGCCTGCATTGTTCCCTCTCCTGCTGCCTGAGGGACCTGCTGCCCACCTTTCGCCAGCCCTGCATCCTGGCCCACAGGCCGCCATGAGAGGGACTCACCCCTGGACACACCCAGCAGGTAGCTGCTCAGCTCAGGGTTCAGGTGGGGGGTGATCTAGGCATGCACTGGCTGGGAAGCCTGGAGGCCTCACCAGTGAGGTGTCTCCCAGGGTTGCTCTTCAGAAATCTGCCTGAAGGGACCACTCAGAGCATCCGCCCCTAGACTTGTGGATGGAACACATGAATTTGCTAGAGGTCAGGCTTACAGAGGCAGCTCAGGGAGATCCTCGGAGGGGCTTGACTCCCGCCTGTTGGCCCTGGAGAGGCTGGGTTACTCCTGACGTACCATTCTTTTCACTCAGAAAGCCTCTTAGTCATTCCTGGAGCACACAGGGCCTTTGCGTGGAGCCACCGTCTCTGTCACGGTCTCTCTTCCTCACAGAAGCTGGAGCAAGAACGGCAGAACGTGGAAGGGGGACCTGAGGGCCTCCACCTCGAGCCAGGTGAGAGCCCCTGGGCTGCTTGGAACCAGCACAGACAGACGCAAGTGTAGCCACTCCAGGGGGAGCCACCTCCAGGGGGAGGTGGGGACAGCAACTCTGGGAATCACCCCCACTCCTGGTACCGGCGAGATTGTCCTCAACGCTTTTCCTTTACATTCAGAGTTGAAGACACCCCCATTCCTTATCACCTTTAGTCTGCAAACCCCAAAAAGGGGCACCTTCATTGTTCCCATTTTGCAGATGAGAAAATGGAGGCAGAGAGGTTGCTCACCCTGGCAGTGGTCGCACCCAGATCAGACCCAGTTGCTCTGGTTCCAGACCCTGAGCTTGTCCATTGGTTGGGGAGGAGCTGCTGTCCTCACTGTTACCCGGGGACGTCCAGGGAGAAGCTGAGGAGGCCAGAGGAGCATTTCTTGTTCTTTGGAACGTGGGGCAAGCTGTGAGCTGTGGGGGCTCAGCTGCCAAGGGCAGAGCCCAGTCTCAAATACAGAGAGAAAATCCCAAACCAGGTCCCCTGACTGCAGAGCCAGTGCGAGGGAATAGAATGGCTACCAGTGCCTGGGGCAGAGGGTTTGGGGACCCCCCCAAGGGCTGGCTAGGGTTCCCAACGGCCCCTCTCCAGTGTGATGCTGGGTGAGGGGCAGGACCCCTGTGCCTAAGGGAAAGGAGGCCAGAACCCTGCCCCCCACCTTCCGGAGCCTTCTCTTGAGTGTAGACCCTCCCCCAAGGAATGTAGACTTTTTCTTTTTTTTGAGATGGAGTCTCACTCTATTGCCCAGGCTGGAGTGCAGTGGTGCAATCTCAGATCACTGCAACCTCCGCCTCTGAGGTTCAAACAATTCTTGTGCCTCAGCCTCCCGAGTAGCTGAGATTACAGGTGCGCTCCACCATGCCTGGCCAACTTTTGTATTTTTAGTAGAGAAGGGGTTTTGCCATGTTCGCCAGGCTCGTCTCAAACTCCCGGCCTGAAGTAATCCACCCACCTCGGCCTCCTAAAGTGCTGAGATTATAGGTGTGACTCACTGCACCTGGCCAGATTTTTTTTTTTTATTCCTGAGACAGGGTTGGTCTCGCTCTGTTGCCCAGGATGGAGTGCAGTGGCCTGATCACAATTCACTGCACCCCCGACCTCCTGGGATCAAGCAATCCTCCCAGTGCAACCTCCCACTGTTGAGATGACAGGCATGAGCCACCACGCCCGGACTAGGGGGCAGACTTGAGGGATGTGCAGATACTTGGGGATCAGACCAGACTCTAGACCACTTGGGGCCAGAGGGTGGCTCCAGGTGGCCAAGGTCAGGCTGCAGCCAGCCCTGTAGAGCCCTTGACCTCCTGGAGCCCAGGGCACTCTGTATGAAATGCACTCAGGAGGAACCTGGTCGCGTCATTTCAGCCTCCCTTCCAGGAATGAGATGACCATCCTCCAGCACTGAGTTCCCTGGATTACCCCTCCCCTGATGCTGCCCCTTGCCCTCCTTACCCAACACTGGTCCCTCTTTATCTGGGATAACCTAAGACCAGGATCCTCCCAGGCCTCCCCCATCCTGGGAGTGTGGGTGAGGCAGGGCCTTCCGACATGGGTGCAGTACCATCCAGTCCGAGTGCTTGCAGCGACAGCCTCTACGCGTTCCTTGGTAAGCAAGCAGGTTCTTCCCTCCAGGAAATGAGGACCGGCCGGACGATGCCCTGCAGACTGCTCTGAAGAGAAGGAGGGACCTTCTGCAGAGACTCCGGGTAGGCCCTGCACCCTCTGAGCGAACCTGGCTGAGCTCACTGTAGCAGAGATAGCTGCTCAGCCTTAAGGCACCAGGTCGGGGAGTATTAGGGAAGACCTTTCCAGACTCTCAGGGCCAGGCCCCAGCAAGGACACTGTTAGCTTAGAGACCTGCCTGGGTGCAGGTTTCCATCAGGACTGGAAATGTTGAGTAAGGGCCCAATTCCAGGAGGACCTGAAATTCTGGGATGCCTGGAGGTTTGCTCCCACGGCACTCACCAAAGATGCATCCGAGTGGCAGAGATGCAGGGGAGGTGGGGCCGCTTTTCTAGGGGGAGACCTAGAAAAAAGTAGGCCTGGAACTGGCTTGAAAGAGAGAACAGACCCTGGGGCTGGAAAAAGAAAACAACTGGAAACTAGCTGACACGCTTGGGTCAATTTCAGGAGGCCACCCTCATGCACATAACCCTGGAAGGGTCTTCCAGTCATGGCCATCCTGCCCGGAGAGGCGCCTGTACCTGGCCCAGGCTGGCCTGAGCCTGATGCTGGGGGTGCCTCTGTGGCGTTGGGGCTCCCCGTCCCCGTGTGCAGCAGCTCTGCATCGGCCTTGCAGGAACAACACCTCCTGGACGAGCTCTCTCGGGCCCAGGCCTGGAGCGGGCCAAGCAGAGGAGCCCTCGGGTCAGCCCTGCCCCCAGAGCTGCCCCCCACGGGCATCCTACCCACTGCCTCCCCATCCCCGCTGGCCCCAGACCCGCCAAGGATCATCCTGCCTACGGTAAGAGGGCGAAGTCGAGGAGCACATCTGAGAGTGGGAGGCGGGTGCGGAATTAAGATTTTACAGAAGGCAGGAGGCGCTGTGCCTGCAGCGAGGTTGCCTCGTCACCCCCATCCTCCCAAGGCCCACCCTTGAAGGGGGCCAGCTGCCTGCCTGGGCACTGCCTGGGCCTCCCCGGACTGCTTACCCCTCATCACAGAGGAAGGCTGGGGCCCAGCTCTGTCTCCCAAACCCCAGCCCTGGCCTTAAATGTTGCATTAGGGGCAGAAGTATCAGGAGAGCTCAGCGGGCGGCCCTGAATTTGGGGAAGTGTGTCAACTCCTCAGAACTTTATCACTGGCCGGGTGCGGTGGCTCACATCTCTACTCCCAGCACTTTGGGAGGCCGAGGCGGGCGGATCACCTGAGGTCAGGAGTTTGAGACCAGCCTGGGCAACTTGGTGAAATCCTGTCTCTACTAAAAATACAAAAATTAGCTGGGCGTGGTGGTGCATGCCTGTAGTCCCAGCTACTCAGGAGGCTGAGGCAGGAGAATCGCTTGAGCCCAGAAAGAGGAGATTACAAGACTCCATCTCAAAAAAAAAACTTTATCATGCCCAGGAGATGCTTAAGGCCCCAATGTCAAGGGCAGAATGTTAAAGGTAAATAGTGCTCCACTTCTGAGAGCTTCCTACAGCTGTTCAGCCTTCTGGGTGGCAGGCAGCAGAAAACAACTCTGACTTTCTGAAGCAAAAAATGGATCAGAGGGAAACCAGGCACCCAGAGGTGGGATGGAAGCTGGGGGCCCGGAGGTCAAGGCTTTGGTGGGATTCGTGTGACTGGGGTGCAGGGAAGGTGGAAGAGAAGAGGCTGAGGTGGGAATTTCTAGACAGGGCAGCAGAGTCTATGACCTGGAAGGCTTTTGCCCTTTGGGAGGGGACCCTGGCAGCAGCACATGGTGGAGGGTACAGAGGGAAGGGGAGCCTCCGAAGGACCTGCCCCAGACCCTCCTCTGCAGATGGGTGGCCTTCACCAGGTTCTGGATATTCCCAGCCTGTGCCTTCCTGTCTTCCAGCACCAGAAACCTCCTCCCAGGACAGAAGGGAGTACGGGGGGTCATTGCTGTGGACCCCCCATCTTCCTCATCCCAAACACATCTATGCTTACTGTGTATCCATCAGGGCCAGTTATGCCTGCAGGTTTCACTCTCAGCCCCAGTGACACCAGGTGGGTGAGCAGGGGCTGTGGGTCACTAAGATGAGCTTCCTGGCAGCTGGACTCAGAGCCCCTGAGGTAGGAGGTCCCATCAGCCAGGACGGGCACGGCAGCTCTAAGAAAGCCTCATGGGTCTGTGCCAGGGGTGGGCAAACCACAGCTTCAGACCGGAGCTGGCCTGCCTCCTATTCTCACACAACCTGCAAGCCAAGAATGGTTTTACATTTTTACATGTTTGGGGAAAAGCCAATACAATAATAATATTTTGCAACATATGAAAATTATATGAAATGCTAATTTTAGTGTTCATAAATAAAGTTTTATTGGGCCAGGCCCATTTGTTTCCACATTGTCCGTAGCTGCTTTCATGCTGCAATGGCCAACTCAAGAGCTGACGGTGTGTCCTGCTTTGGAAGCTGTTTACGATGTAGCTCTTGGCAAAAGTTTGCCAACTCTTGGTCTCTGCCGTCCTTTCTGTGAACTGAGGAAGAAGGGACAAGGCCAGGCAGCCTCACACAGCTAGAAGAGGATAAAACAGAAGGCCTTTCATGCTCGAATATTTGGCTATAATTTATTTTCACTCAGAGGAGAAACCAAAGTTCATTTTCATGACGTGTTCTATATATGTACTACAGTATATGATGGAGGACAGTAATTAACCAAGTTGTTATGGGGGCTGGGATAGAGAGGTCACTGGGACAGAATTGAGAACGCCTGTTGGGATGCGGCCATCCTACCCACGGGTCTGCCCCAGATGCTCAACACCATCCGTCATTAGGGAAATGCAAATTAAAGCCACTGTGAGCCACCACTGCATCTCTATTAAAGTGGCTACAATTAAAAAGACTGACCAGGCCGGGCATGGTGGCTCATGCCTGTAATCCCAGCACTTTGGGAGGCCAAGGTGGCCAACCGCTACTGCATTTCCCCTGCCTGGACACTGTTGGTTGGTTGGATGGGTGGCTCTCCTGAGGTCAGGAGTTCGAGACCAGCCTGGCCAACGTGGTGAAACCCCGTCTATACTAAAAACACAAAAATTAGCCGGGCGTGGTGGCAGGCGCCTGTAATCCCAGCTACTCGGGAGGCTGAGGCATGAGAATCGCTAGAACCTGGGAGGCGGAGGTTGCAGTGAGCTGAGGTTGTACCATTGCACTCCAGCCTGGGCGACAAGAGCAAGACTTTGTCTCAAAAAAAAACAAAAACACCATACCAAGTGTTGGTTGCTCCTATTAAAGCAGAATTGGTGGAACCAGGCCTCAGCCCACCCCGCTAAAGACAGGAAATGTGGGAAACATTAAAAATACTACATCCTAAGTGATATCTAGACTGAAGTACCTTTCCATTCAACCATTTATTCAGTGTCTGGGGTTAATCATTTAAAGTTCTCCTTGGATGGATGAATGGATGTGTAGGTAGATGGTTGGCTGGTTGGATGGATGGGTGGGTGGATGGATGGGTGGGTGGTTGGTTGGTTGGTTGGTTGGGTAGGTGGATGGGTGGATGGGTGGATGGATGGGTGGGTGGATGGGTGGATGGGTGGATGGATGGGTGGGTGGGTGGGTGGATGGATGGGTGGGTGGATGGTTGGTTGGTTGGATGGATGGGTGGGTGGATGAATGGTTGGTTGGCTGGTTGGATGGTTGGCTGGTTGGATGGATGGGTAGGTGGATAGATGGGTGGGTGGTTGGTTGGATGGGTGGATGGGTGGGTGGATGAATGGTTGGTTGGCTGGTTGGATGGATGGGTGGGTGGATGGATGGGTGGATGGATGAGTGGGTGGATGGTTGGTTGGATGGATGGGTGGATGGTTGGTTGGTTGGTTGGTTGGTTGGATGGATGGGTGGATGGTTGGTTGGTTGGTTGGTTGGATGGGTGGGTGGATGGATGGGTGGTAGATACTGGAGACACTTTCTTCAAGGACATATGCAGATAGCTAATCACCTGGCTGTTCCTAGGTCCCCCAGCCTCCTGCCACCATCATTCAGCAGCTCCCTCAGCAGCCACTCATAGCACAGATTCCTCCTCCCCAGGCCTTCCCTACTCAACGGTCAGGAAGTATTAAGGAAGGTAAGTGTTCCATATTCATATTGTTGTGGGTTGAGGAAATTATCTACTGAAAGGGAAAATGTTCCTGGAAGCAGGACAGTCACTTAGGGCCAGCTTTTGGCTGTTCAACATGAAAATAATTTTAACTTTAAGAAATCCTTATATAAATGATATCTCACAGGGAAGGAAACAAGAGGTATAAGAAAGATAACTAGGAGGTAAAATAATTGGGCTCCAATTCCAACTCATCCAATCATCATCCATTCAAAAACCATTATTAAGATGCTTCTTTTAAAATAATTTTTAGGGCCCGGCTCGGTGGCTCACGCTTGTAATCCCAACACTGGGAGGCTGAGGCGGGTGGATTACCTGAGGTCAAGAGTTCGAGACCAGCCTGGCCCACAGGGTGAAACCCCATCTCTACTAAAAATACAAAAACCAGCTCACCATGGTGATGGATGCCTGTAATCCCAGCTACTTGGGAGGCTGAGGCAGGAGAAATTGCTTGAACCTGGGAGGCGGAGGTTGCAGTGTGAGCCAAGAATGCACAACTTTACTCCATCCTGGGCGACAGAGTGAGACTCTGTCTCAAAAATAATAATAATAATAATAGCTTTTAAATACTTGATTTTTAAAATTTATTTATTTATTTATTTAGAGAGAGAGAGAGAGAGTGTCTTACTTTGTTGCCCAGGCTGGAATACAATGGCATGATCTCAGCTCATTGCAACCTCTGCCTCCTGGGTTCAAGCGACTTCTCCTGCCTCAGCCTCCCAAGTGGCTGGAACTGTAGGCCTGCACCACCATGCTTTGCTAATTTTTGTATTTTCAGTAGAGGTGGGTTTTCGCCATTTTGGCCAGGCTGGTCTTGAACTCCCAACCTCAGGTGATCCGCCCACCTCAGCCTCTCAAAGTGCTGGGATTATAGGCGTTTGCCACTGTGCCCGGCCCAATTTGACAAGTTTTGTTTTTTTTTTTTATTTTTATTTTTTTTGTTCTGAGACAGTCTCGCTCTTGTTGCACAGATAGGAGTGCAATGGCGCCATCTTGGCTCACTGCAACCTCCACCTCCTGGGTTCAAGCAATTCTCCTGCCTCAGCCTCTCGAGTAGCTGGGATTACTGGTGCCCACCACCATGCCCAGCTATTTTGTTGTATTTTTGGTAGAGACAGGGGTTTCACTATGTTGGCCAGGCTGGTCTCGAACTCCTGACCTCAGGCAATCCACCCGCCTTGGCCTCCCAAAGTGCTGGGATTACAGGTGTGAGCCACCACACCTGGCTTGACAAGTTTTAACATATACATATAACATATACTTATATCACTACAATCAAGACTGAGCATATCCATCACCTCCAAAGTTTCCTCGTGTTTCTTTTTAATCCCTCCTCCTACACCCCCATGCAACTGCTGAGCAGCTTTCCGTCACTATGTAGTAGTTTGAATTTTCTAGATTATTTTATTTTATTTTATTTTATTTTTGAGACAGAGTCTTGCCTGTCGCCTAGGCTGGAGTGCAGTGGCGTGATCTCGGCTCACTGCAACCTCTGCCCCTCCAGGTTTAAGCAATTCTCTGCCTCAGCCTCTGGAGTAGCTGGGGATTACAGGTACCCGCCACCACGCCCTGCTAATTTTTTGTATTTTTAATAGAGACGGGGTTTCACCATCTTGGCCAGGCTGGTCTTGAACTCCTGACCTCATGATCCACCCACCTCAGCCTCCCAAAGTGCTGGGATTATAGGCGTGGGCCACCATGCCTGGCCTGCATTTTCTAGATTTTTGTAGAAATGGTCTACACAGTATGTACTCTTTTTTTGTATGGCTTCTCTCAGCATGACTGTTTTAAGATTCATCACTGTCGTTGGGTGTATCAATAAATGGTTCCTTCTAATTGCTGAGTAGTATTGCATTGTGTGAATATATCAGTTTGTTATGCATTCACCTGTTGGTGGATGTCTTAGTCCATTTTCTGTTGCTCAGAATATCTGAAACTGAGTAATTTTTTTTTTTTTTTTTGAGACGGAGTCTTGCTCTTTTGCCCAGGCTTGAGTGAAGTGGCGCAATCTCGGCTCACTTCAACCTCTGCCCACCGGGTTCAAGCGATTCTCCTGCCTCAGCCTCCCAAGTAGCTGGGATTACAGGCGCCTGCCACCATGCCTGGCTAATTTTTGTGGTTTTTAGTAGAGACGGGGTTTCACCATGTTGACCAGGCTGGTATCAAATTCCTGACCTCAGATGATCTGCCTGCCTCGGCCTCCTAAAGTATTGGGATTACAGGCGTGAGCCACCAGGCCTGGCCTTCGGTTAATTTTTGCATTTTTAGTAGAGACGGGATTTCGCCATGTTGGCCAGACTGGTCTCGAACTCCTGACCTCAGGTGATCCACCCACCTCAGCCTCCCAAAGTACTAGGATTACAGGCGTGAGCCACTGCGCCTGGCCAAATCTGGGTAATTTATAGAGAAAAGAAATTCATTTCTTACAGTTATAGAGACTGGGGAGTGCAAGGTTCGGGGGCACATCTGGTGAGAGCCTTCTTGCTGTTGGGGACTCTGCAGAGTCTGGAGGCATCACGTGGCAAGGGGGCTGAGTGTGCTGATGGCTAGCTCAGGTCACTCTTCCTCTTATTATAAAGCCACCATTTCTCCTCCCATGATAACACATTAACCCATGAAATCATTAATCCATTATCTCATGTATGCATTAATCCATTCATAAAGGCAGAGCCCTCATGATCCAAGTACCCCTTACAGGCCCCACCTCTCAATACTGCCACATTGAGGATTAAGTTCCAACCATAGCAATGAGAGGCCCCACCTCTCAATACTGCCACATTGAGGATTAAGTTCCAACCACAGTAATGAACATTTGGGTTGCTTCTTGTTTTCGCTTATGGCCAACAAAGCTGTCGTGGACATTCCTGCCTCAGTCTTTCTGTGGATGTATGCTTTCATTTCTCTTGGGTAAATACCTAGAAGTGAAATGTCTGAATCATATGAGATTTAACTCTTTTTTTTTGAGATGGAGTCTCACTCTTTTGCCCAGGCTGGAGTGCAGTGTCGTGATCCCGGCTCACCGCGGCCTCTGCCTCCCGGGTTCAAACAATTCTCCTGCCTCAGCCTCCCGAGCAGCTGGGATTACAGGCATGTGCCACCACGCCCGGCTGATTTTTGTATTTTTAGTAGAGACGGGGTTTCTCCATGTTGGCCAGGCTGGTCTCGAACTCCTGACCTCGTGATCTGCCCCCTTCGGCCTCCCAAAGTGCTGGGATTATGGGCGTGAGCCACCGCGCCTGGGCAGCAGTTTCTTAAAAGTTAAATCAGCAGGTGCGGTGGCACATGCCTGTAGTCCCAGCTGCTCGGGAGGCTGAGGTAGGAGAATCACTTGAACCCAGGAGGTGGAGGCTGCAGTGAGCAGAAATCGTGCCTTTGTACTCCAGCCTGGGTGACAGAGCGAGACTCTGTCTCAAAAAAGAAAAAAAAGAAACTGCCAAACTGTTATCTAGTGTCTGCAGCATTTAATATTCTCACTAGTAATGTTTGTGAGTTCTAGTTATTTACAACCTTGGCAACATGTGGTATGGTCAGTCTTTCTCATTTTATCCATTTTAACAGGATGCAGTGGTGGTTGATTGTGGCTTTGATTTGCATTGCCCTAATGACTAATGGAATTGGTAGTCTAGGGGCAGACGTGTGTAGAATGGCTGAATCACCTGACAGCTGTCCTCAAATCTGTCCCAGTGACCTGCCTATCCCAACCCCTGTGCTGACTTGGTTAATTACTGTAGCTCTATCATATATTGCAATCCAAGCCAGATCTGGCCCAGGACGGCCATGTAACCCACATCCAGGGGATACCTTTCCTATTGTGATCCATATGAGGAGCCCCTGGAGTGGCAGAGAGCATAGCTTGTGCCATCATAAAGAAGGGTAGTCCTGTCTTTCCTTATTACCTGTCGATTTTTCCAGATGAAGTTTAGTGATAGTCTGTCAGGTGCTAAAAAGCACACTGAGGTAGGGGTGTGTGTGTGGGTGTGTGTGTGCCTATGCTTGTATGCCATAGGTTCTAAAAAGCATACCGAGGTAGGGGTGTGTGTGAATGGGTGAGTGTGTGCCTATGCTTGTATGCCATATGAGAGAAAATGCAGCATTTAAAATCAGTGGTTAACGGCCAGCACAGTGGCTCATGCCTGTCATCCCAGCACTTTGGGAGGCTGAAGCAGGAAGATCGCTTGAGCCTAGGAGCTTGAGACCAGCCTGGGCAACATAGCAAGATGCAATCTTGGCTGGGCGCAGCGGCTCACACCTGTAATCCCAGCACTTTGGGAGGCTAAAGAGGCTGGATCACCTGAGGTCAGGAGTTCGAGACCAGCCTGGCCAACATGGTGAAATCCCGTGTCTACTAAAAATACAAAAATCAGCCAGGTGTGGTGGTGGGCGCCTGTAATCCCAGTTACTTGGGAGGTTGAGGCAGGAGAATTGCTTGAGCCTGGGAGGCGGAGGCTGCAGTGAGCTGAGATCACGCCACTGCACTCCAGCCTGGGTGACAGACCAAGACTCTGTCTTAAAAAAAATAAATAAAAATAAGGGGAGGCCGGGCACAGCGGCTCACACCTGTAATCCCAGCATTTTGGGAGGCCGAGGTGGGAGGATTGCTTGAGCTCAGGAGTTCCAGACCAGCCTGGGCAACATGGGGAAACTCCATCTCTACAAAAAAATACAAAAATTTGCCAAGTGTTAGGTGCATGCCTGTGGTCCTAGCTACTTGGGAGGCTGAGGTGGAAGGATCACTTGAACCCAGGAGGTGGAGGCTGCAGTGAGCTGTGACTGTGCCACTGTACTGCAGTCTGGGCAAGAGAGTGAAACCCTGTCTCTAAATAAATACATAAATAAATGGAAATAAAAAACATTTGCAGGAAAGTAGATACTGAGGGAGTTTGTATAACTGTTCTAAAGGAATTCATAAAAGATTTTTTTTTTCGAGATGGGAGTGTCGCTCTGTTGCCAGGCTGGAGTGCAGTGGCATGATCTCAGCTCAATGCAACCTCCGCCTCCTAGGTTGAAGCGATTCTCCTACCTCAGCCTCCCAAGTAGCTGGGACTACAGGCGTGTGCCACCATGCCCAGCTAATTTTTGTATTTTTAGTTGAGACGGGGTTTCACCATGTTGGCCAGATGGTCTTGAACCTCATGATCCACCCTCCTCAGCCTCCCAAAGTGCTGGGATTACAGGCGTGAGCCACCATGCCCGGCCCTACCTTTATTTTTAAATGCAAGTTTTGCTGCATATTCAAATCTAGATTGACAGTCATTTTATCTCACCACTTTCTAAGGACCCTGTGATTGCACTGGGCTTGCCCAGATAATCCAGGATTATATTCCCATCTCATGAGTCTTTTTTTTTTTTTTTTGAGTCACAGTGTTGCTATATCACCTAAGGCAGGTCCAAAACTCCTGGCCTCAAGCGATCCTCCCACCTCAGCCTCCCAAGTAGCTGGGATTATAGCACCCAGCACTCAAGATTCTTTTCTTTTTTTTTTTGAGACGGAGTCTCGCTGTCTGCCAGGCTGGAGTGCAGTGGCGCAATCTCAGCTCACTGCAAGCTCTGCCCCCCAGGTTCACGCCATTCTCCTGCCTCAGCCTTCCGAGTAGCTGGGTCTACATGTGCCCGCCACCAGGCCCGGCTAATTTTTTTTTGTATTTTTAGTAGAGACGGGGTTTCACCGTGTTAGCCAGGATGGTCTCGATCTTCTAACCTCATGATCCGCCCACCTCAGCCTCCCAAAGTTCTGGGATTACAGGCGTGAGCCACCGCGCCCGGCCAAGATTCTTTTTTTAAAAGTTAATTTACAGCATGGCACAGTGGCTCATATCTGTAATCCCAGCACTTTGGGAGACTGATATGGGAGGATCACTTGAGCCTAGGAGTTCAAGACCAGCCTGGGCAACATATTGAGACCTCTTCTCTACAAAACATATCAAAATTAGTTGGGTATGGTGGCATGTGCCTGTGGTCCCAGCTACTTGGGAGGATGAGATGGGGGGATCCCTTGAGCCCAGGAGGTCCATGCTGCAGTGAGCTGTGTTCACACCAAGGCGTCCCAGCTTGGGCAACAGAGTGAGACCCTGTCTCAAAAAAAAAAAAAAAAAAAAGATTAATTTGTGATTAAAAAAAAAAAAAACCATGTAACTTTACCATTGTGACCACTTAAGTGCAAAGTTCAGTAGCGTTAACTGTAGTCACTGCTGTGCCGCAGAACATTTTTATCTTGCAAATCTCAGACTCCACCCGTCGGACTACGTCACCCCCTCCCGTCAGTGCCTGGCAACCACCTTCCTCTGTTCTGTTTCTACGAGTTTGACTGTGTTCGATGTGTCAGATGAATGGAGCCGTACAGTATCTGTCTTTGTGTGACTACATCATCCCCACCTGCCAGTGCCTGGCAACCACCGTCCTGTGTTCTGTTTCTATGAGTCTGACTGTGTTCGCTGTGTCCTGTGAGTGGAGCCACACAGTATTTGTCTTTGTGTGACTGGCTTATTTCGCTTAGTGTGATGTCCTCAAGGATCACCCACATTGCAGCAGGTCACAGATGAGTAACAGTCCATTGTATGGATAGACCACATTTCTGCCTCCATTTATCTATCTACTGATGTACACTTGGGTTGCTTCCGTCCCCGCTCAAGATTCCAGGCTTACATCTGCACAGTCCTTTTTGCCCTCTAATGGAACGCATGCCTAGGACAGAAATGGCTGTGTCAGGAAATACAGCCACACAGTCTCTCAAAAGGTTTGTGCCCATTTACACTCCACATACATGAATGAGAATTTCAGTCGCCAGAGCACTTCACCAACACTTGGCATTTTCACACTTTTCATTTTTGCCAGCGTGGTGGGCATCTTATGGAAGTTCATTCTGGTTTAATTTGCATTTCACTTTTTCATATATTTATTGGCCATTTGTTTTTGTTTTTTGAGGTTTTTTTTTTTCTAAGAGACAGGGTCTCACTCCATTGCCCAGGCTGGAGTGCAGTGGTGCAATCATACCTCGCTGCAGCCTCAACTTCTGGGCTCAAGCACTCCTCCCACCTCAGCCTCCCAAGTAGCTGGGACTACAGGCACAGTCAACTAATTTGAAAAATTTTGTGTAGGGCAGGCGCAGTGGCTCACGCCTGTAATCCCATCACTTTGGGAGGCCGAGGCGGGCAGATCATGAGGTCAGGAGTTCCAGACCATCCTGGCTAACACAGTGAAACCCCATCTCTACTAAAAATACAAAAACAAAATTAGCCGGGCGTGGTGGCGGGTGCTTGTAGTCCCAGCTACTCAGGAGGCTAAGGTGGGAGAATGGCATGAACCTGGGAGGCAGAGCTTGCAGTGAGCCAAGATTGCACCACTGCACTCCAGCCTGGGTGACACAGTGAGACTCCGTCTCAAAAAAAAAAAAAAAAAAAAAAAACCAGCACTTTGGGAAGCCAAGGCAGGTGGATCATGAGGTCAGGAGATCGAGACCATCCTGGCTAACACGGTGAAACCCCATCTCTACAAAAAATACAAAAAATTAGCCGGGCGCAGTGGCGGGCACCTGTAGTCCCAGCTACTCAGGAGGCTGAGGCAGGAGAATGGCGTGAACCCAGGAGGCGGAGCTTGCAGTGAGTCGAGATCGCACCACTGCACTCCAGCCTCGGCGACAGAGCAAGACTCTGTCTCCAAAAAAAAAAAAAAAAAAAAAAATATATATATATATATATATATATATATATATATATATTTTGTGTGTGTGTGTGTGTGTGTGTGTGTGTAGAGATGAGGTCTTGCTATGACTGGTGTCAGCTCCTGGTCTCAAGGACTTCTCCTGTCTCGGTCTCCCAAAGTGCGAGCATCACAGGCATGAGCCACCGTGCCTGGCCTTATTGGCTACTTGAATATCCTTTTTTGTAAAGTGTCCATTTAAGTAATTTGCCCATTTTTCTTTCAGGTTGCCTGCCTCCCTTATTGGTTTCTAGGGATTCTTTATAATTTCTGTAATGAGCCCTTTTTTGATATGTGCATTTTGAGTGTTCCATCCTTCTTGTGGTTGCCTTTTCACTCTCTTCATGGTGTCTGTAGATGAACAGATATTTTATTATTTATTTTCTGGGGAGATAGTATCTTGCTCTGTTACCCAGGCTAGAGTGCAGGGGCATGATCATGGCTCACTACAGCCTCGAACTCCTGGGCTCAAGTGATCCTCCTGCCTCAGCCTCCTGAGTAGCTGGGACTACAGGCATGCACCACTACAACTGGCTTAGATGTTTTAATTTTTTTTTTTTCTTGAGACGGAGTTTCGCCCTGGTTGCCCAGGCTGGAGTACAGTGGCACGATCTTGGCTCACCGCAAGCTCTGCCTCTTGAGTTCAAGCGATTCTCATGCCTCAGCCTCCCAAGGAGCTGGGATTACAGGCTTGAACCACCACGCCTGGCTAATTTTTGTATTTTTAGTAGAGACTCAGGGCGCGCCCCGGGGACCCGCACCGTGTACAGACGGGCTCAGGGCGCGCCCCGGGGACCCGCACCGTGTGCAGACGGGCTCAGGGCGCGCCCCGGGGACCCGCACCGTGTGCAGACGGGCTCAGGGCGCGCCCCGGGGACCCGCACCGTGTGCAGACGGGCTCAGGGCGCGCCCCGGGGACCCGCACCGTGTGCAGACGGGCTCAGGGCGCGCCCCGGGGACCCGCACCGTGTGCAGACGGGCTCAGGGCGCGCCCCGGGGACCCGCACCGTGTGCAGACGGACTCAGAGCCTGCCCCGGGGACCTGCACAGTGTACAGACACACCTGTTCTCTGGTCCTATAATGCTCTATCACTTTAACAAATAGGAAAAACGGAAACTTTATTCAGGGTCCCCCTGCTTCTTCCCTGCAGACATGGTGGAGCTGCTGCTGCTGCAGAACGCACAGGTGCACCAGTTGGTCCTGCAGAACTGGATGCTCAAGGCCCTGCCCCCAGCCCTGCAGGTAGGCTTAGCCCCCAGCAGAACCCTAGGCCAAGGAAACAGGGCCTGGGTGGTTTTTCTTCTGGAAATTTCTGCATCTGTGTAGCTCTGAAAGGGCATTCCTGGCTCAGGTCTACAGTCTGGCTGTGAAGCCCCCATCCCCATCGAGTCCCAGCCCAGATGAGGAATGGGTTGCACAATTTGGGGCGGGGGAGGAGCCTCCTCTGGGAGGATGCTTAGACCCTGCCATCCTGCCTATCACATGGGATCCAGCCCCAGTTAGGAACAGGGCGGGAGTGGAGGTGGGGAGCAGCCTGGGCTGCGTCCTAAGCAGCAGGTGCGTCTGTGGCAGGACCCGCCACATGTGCCCCCGAGGGTCCCACGAGCTGCCAGGCCAAGGCTGCCTGCCGTGCACCACCACCACCACCACCACCATGCTGTGTGGCCACCTGGGGCTGCCACTGTCCTCCAGCCCGCCCCCAGCCTGTGGACGCCTGGCCCACCCTGAGTGTGAGTCACAGAGACCCTGGCCGGGGCACCCTCCACCCCCAGGCTTCCTCAGGGCTGTGGGCTGTGGCGGGACTATGGAAGGGAGCAGGGAGAGACCCTGCCACCACCCGGAGTGGCTACGCGAGTGTGGACTGCAGGCTCCTCCTGGGGAAGCTGGGCAGGCTCGCTTTCTGGTCACGGGGCCATTCCAGGGGGCATCCCTTGCTCCGGGTCCCCTGCAGTGAGGGGCCTGTGAACCCCACCAGGGCAACAGCCCCTCCCAGGGACCCCTCCTTTCCTGTAGGGCGGCGCCGGCCCACCTGGGAGCCTCAGATCCCCCTCTTCCATCACGGAGGTAAAGTTGAGGCCGTGGACGCCACCAGCCTGATGAAATAAAGATTTCATCCAGAAAGAGTTTAAGAAAATCTCAGCTCAGGAGCCAGAACAGAAAAGATCAATAGCTTTAGCCACATGGAAGTGTGAACATCCTGATGGGGAAAATACCACAAAGTCTAATTTAATAACTAGGGACACCTGTGTCCACAGCTGTGGCACAGACTCCCACTAAAGAAGTAGGGGTGCATGGCTCATGCCTGTAATCCCAGCACTTTAAGAGGCTGAGGCAGGAGGATCACTTGAGCTCAGGAATTCGAGACCAGCCTGGGTCACATAGCAAGACCCCGTCTCTACAAAAAATAAATTTAAAAAACTAGCCAGGTGTGGTGATATGCGCCTGTTATCTCAGCAGCTCTGGGGGCTGAGGTGGGAGGATTGCTTGAGCCCAGGAGTTAGAAGCTGCAGTGAGCTCTGATGGAACCACTGCACTATAGCCTGGACCACAGAGCAGGCCCCTGTCTCAAAAATAAAATAAAAAAGTGAAAGAAGCAAGCTGTGTATGACGTGATCCCTTTTGAGTTAATAAAAAAAAAAAAGGGAGAGTGCTAATGCTATAAATGCAGAAATCTCTACATGCTGGTTTGCACAGCTCTTGTTCCTGTAAAGCAAAGGTGAGTGCTGGGCAGTGGAAGGGCGGCTCACTCCCCTCAGTTCAGTTTCCTTCTGTGCTGTGGGGTTTCTTACCATGTGGACAGGCTACCTTGACTATTTCTTTTCTTTACTTTTTGTTACTTTTTTTTTTGGGTGCAATTATGTTTCTTTGCTCTTTTAATGTTGTTTACATATTTTTAAGTAGTATACATAAACTTTCATTCACCCCCTATTAGGACAGATTCTTTCATTCCTGAAGTTCCGCACAAGGAGGAACCCTGTCCCAGTGCTTCCATCTTTGAAAGTTTGCAGGTAGGAGACAGGATGACCAGAGAGTTGCCACTGAGCTGCAGAGCTCCCCAGGGACAGCCACCTGGTGCTGACATGGACGGGCAGGTGTGAACACCGAAGGGCCCAGCGCAGCTACTGGCAGTAACACTCACTTCTCTCAGAACCATCTTTTCGTGCCTCTTGAAGGTGATTCCAGAGACTCTGTGCTCTCGTTAAAAGCTCAAACCAAAGCTCAGACTCCATTTCCTCTTTTCAAGGTGACTTTCCAGCATGGCATTTCTTTCTTTCTATTAAAAATGTTTTTTTTTGAGACAGAGTTTTGCTCTTGTCGCCCAGGCTGGAGTGCAATGGAGCGATCTCGGCTCACTGCAAGCTCCGCCTCCCAGGTTCATGCCATTCTCCTGCCTCAGCCTCCCGTGTAGCTGGGACTACAGGTGCCCGCCACCACACCCAGCTAATTTTTTGTATTTTTAGTAGAGACGGGGTTTCACTGTGTTAGCCAGGATGGTCTTGATTTCCTGACCTCGTGATCCACCTGCCTCGGCCTCCCAAAGTGCTGGGATTACAGGCGTTGAGCCACCGCGCCCAGCCTATTAAATATTTCTCAACAGAATTTTTCATACAACAGAGGGAAGAAATGTCACAGGAAGTGGTGGTCTTTGGATGGCCTGGTCTTGCTGGGTTCACAGGGATGAAAGGCTCTGGCATCCAGAGTGTCTGGTGAGGGCACAGCTGCACTGGCTTAGCCTTGACTGGCCTGCAGGAGGGGTGGGGTCACACCTGAGGGTGGGGCAGGGGATGAGCTCACCCCCATACACAGTCCCCCTTGGTCCCCCTTGGTCCACCTGGGTAGGCTGAAGAGCTCAGAGCAGGCCCTGAAAATGGGCTTGGGCTACTTGGCAGGGGTTTTGGGGTCTGGGTGCCTGGTACCTGGTAGTTAGGAGTGGGGGCTTCTCATGGCCACACCTCCTTGCCTGTGGTGGGGGGGGCTCAGGGCACATTGTGCACACCTGTACACCTGATAAGTTGGGTGACACTCACTGAGAGAGGTTGAAGATGACCCAGGGACCAAGGCAGCACATATGCATGGGTCAGAGCCTCCACAGGGTTGGCAGATCTGCAGATTCAATGCAACTCCAGTCAAGATACCACATTCTTCCTGGCATGTGAGGAGCTGAATCTGGAACCACACAGAACGTGAAGGGCCGGGTGACTCTGGGAGCAGAAGGATGAGGACGGACCTGCTCTGACGACACTCTGGCTTGCAAGAGGGTCCAGAATCAGGGCAGTATGGCTGGGGACAGGCTGGGCAGTGGTGACCTGTGAGCCCCCACTCCTAACTACCAGGTTCCTAGAGCAGGAAACTACCCTGCAACAGGTGATGCTGCTGCTGCCTGGGCCACGGGCGGCTCTTCCTCAGATTCAGGTCAGAAGGGCATTTGCTCACATTCCCTAAAGAAACAAAGGGTTGGGGCCAGGCACAGCGGCTCACACCTATAATGTCAGCACTTTGGGAGGCCTAGGCGGATCAATCACTTGAGGTCAGGAATTTGAGACCTGCCCGGCCAACATGGTGAAACCCTGTCTCTACTAAGAAATACAAAAATTAGCCAGGTGTGGTGGCACACACATGTAGTACAAGCTACCTGGGAGGCTCAGGCAGGAGAATCACTCCAAAAAAAAAAAAAAAAAGAAAGAAAGAAATACAGGATTGGGCCGGACACGGTGTGTGGCTCACACCTGTGATCCCAGCACTTTGGGAGGCTGAGGCGGGCAGATTACTTGAGGTCAGGAGTTCAAGCCCAGCCTGGTCAACACAGCGAAACCCTGTCTCTACAGAAACAAAAATTAGCTGGGCGTAGTGGTGCGCACTTGTAGTCCCAGCTGCTCGGGAGGCTGAGGCAGGAGAATGGCTTGAGCCCAGGAGGCAGAGGTTACAGTGAGCCGAGACTGCACCACTGCACTCCAGCCTGGGCAACAGAGCCAGACCCTACCTCAAAATAACAAAACAGGCCGGGCGTGGTGGCTCACGCCTGTAATCCCAGCACTTTGGGAGGCCGAGGTGGGCGGATCACGAGGTCAGGAGATGGAGACCATCCTGGCTAACACAGTGAAACCCCGTCTCTACTAAAAATACAAAAAATTAGCCGGGCGAGGTGGCGGGCGCCTGTAGTCCCAGCTACTCGGGAGGATGAAGCAGGAGAATGGCGTGAACCCCGGCGGGCGGAGCCTGTAGTGAGCCGAGATCGCACCACTGCACTCCAGCCTGGGCGACAGAGCGAGACTCCGTCTCAAAAAAAAAAAAGCTTGGATTAAAGCTGACTCCATTTTCTGTTTTCACGAGTACTTTTTCGACATGAAGCTATGTCTCACAGTAAACAGAACGCTCTTCACCGAAGGGCGCGGTGGTGCAGCGACTTCAGGAACAGAGGGGCCTGGCCCGTGTTCCCAAGGGGACAAGTCCAGGCTAAGACAGGACGCAAGTCAGTGGGAAGGCATTTTCATGTCCCTGAATCATTTCACAGGACAAACAGATGAGCAGAATTGTAGTAGCCCCAGGCTTTAGAACTCACGCAGGTCTCTGAGGTGCTGCTCGGCGGCCTCGCCGTGGCCCTGGCTAGAGCGGTGTCCGTGGCCGGGAGGCCCCGGGGAACCAGCGCGCTCGCGACGCGCTGCCCTGATGAAGAGGCGTGCGCTGGCGCTGAAACTCCAGGGTTTACTCGAATATTCCAATACTCAGGAGGTAAAAGCAGGAAATACTGACGCAAGCCTTTTCTACGGAAGGACGCGCTGCGGCACCCAAGCCCCTCGAGCCCCTTCCTCTCCGGGGGCGCAGGCTCCGGGCAGGGACCCCCTTGAAGGGCGAGAGGCGAGCGCTGCGCGGTGCTCCCGGGCGGGGGCCACGCGTTCCCTGAACTCCAGACGCCCTCTCGATGCCACGGCTCGGAACCGTTTTATTTACAATAACGAAAAATACCCGATGCAACGTGAAGGAAATAAGAGGAGGTTCCCCTCGTACGTTCATTCGTTATTTATTCGTGTGCGACCCCGGCTCCCCGCAGCCTCCACCCCTCCCGCGTCCCGCTTTCAGAAGGAACGCGGCCCTCAGCTCCCTCCGAAGAGGCCCCGGGTCAGGGGCTGCAGCCGGGTCCCCGTGCGTCGGCCCAGCTCGTCCAGCACCGCCTTCTCCTTCTGGAACATCTGGAAGGAAGGAAGCGCGCTGGCCCTCCCCAGGGAAGGTGTCCGCGCCCCACTCTCTGGGGTCGCCTCCTCGGGATGCCCCTCCCACAGGGTTTGGGGGAAGCCGGCCGCCCGCGCGGCTCTAGCTCAGGCCGAAGGCGGGACCCGGCTCCGGGCACCTTCACCAGAACCTGAGCTCAGCGAGTGCACGAACCGCCACAGGCCGGGAGAATAAGCGGGGCCTCGGGAGGGGAGTGGGAGGAAGAAAGGGGGGCATGGGAGGTGGGAAGGGAAGGGGGAGGAGGGGAGGAGGGCTCACTGCAACCTCCACCTCCCGGGTTCAAGCGATTCTCCTGCCTCAGCCTCCCCTGTAGCTGGGATTACAGGCGCCCACCACCACGCCCGGCTAATCTTTGCGTTTTTAGTAGAGACCGGGTTTCACCATGTTGGCCAGACTGGTCTTGAACTCCTGACCTCAAGTGATCCACCCTCCTCGGCCTCCCAAAGTGCTGGGATTACAGGCGTGAGCCACTGCGCCTGGCCAACTTTTTCTTTTTCTTTTTGAGACGGACTTTCACTCTTGTTGCCCAGGCTGGAGTGCAATGACGCGATCTCTCGGCTAACCACAACCTCCGCCTCCTGGGTTCAAGCGATTCTCCTGCCTCAGCCTCCTGAGTAGCTGGGATTACAGGCATGCACCACCAGGCCCAGCTAATTTTGTATTTTTAGTAGAGACAGGGTTTCTCCATGTTGGCCAGGCTGGTCGCGAACTCCCAACCTCAGTTGATCCGCCTGCCTCGGCCTCCCAAAGTGCTGGGATTACAGGCGTGAGCCACTGCGCCCGGCCAAACTTTTTCTTTTTTTAATGAAAAAGGTTTTTCATGACTTTCAGAGAAGCAGTTTGCTCCCAACACGGGCTTGCGTGCGTGTTAACCATGTGGACCGGAGCCCACGTGGGCCTCCGTAGGCGGAGCGCATGGGTCTGGAGGAAACCAACCCGGAACTCACTCCACGCAGAGCTCCCGCCTCCGCCCTGGGTCTGGCCTAGTCTCTAGCTGATTGGACCTTTTTGACCAAGCGCCACGTGCTAGTGTCAGCTGTGGCTCTCGGCCTCTGCACTCAGACCGCTTTCCTTAGTGAACACATTCAGCTGGAAGTATTTGGGGAGCCCGGTGTTGAAAGCAAACATCTGTGTCATTTTTACAAGGGCAGGTCTGAGGTCCAGTTCCTGCGGGGGCGGTCAAGATGGAGGGTGGGGGCTGGCAGGGGCCTGGGGGAGCCTCCTTCCCCCACGCACCCCCTCGGTAGTGGGATGGATGGGCTCCTTACCTGCTGCCACTCTGCCTCCGTGCCGTGTGTGAATCCCAGCAAGTGACAGAGTCCGTGGGTGGCCGTCACCTGTCAGAATAATTTTAAACCGGCTCAGAGGATGACCCCACAGGAACCTGCCCCTTCAGGGCCACCCCAGGGCCACAGGCTGCTCTTGGTATGTGGCTGCAGGACCCCAGGGTTGCTGTGAGACCCCTGGGCAGGAATTACAGGCACTCAGCTTCAGTTCCCTTCCATCTAAAATGGAAAGCAAGCAAGCCCCTTTGAGAGTCTTTAGTCAACGTGGATTGCTGTCTGGGCCAGCACTGTGCTGGGGAGGGGCCCCCAGGATGGAACTGCCCAGCCGCAGGAGCAATGGGCAAGGGGGGATGGAATATGAAGAAGTGGGGAGGGGTGGGTGCCACGGGGTGGTGGGGCAGTGGGGCACCGGCCAGGGGTGGCCTCCCTGCCCTAAGAGGGACGAGGCAAGCGCACAGCCCACACCCCAGGTCCAACCCCCAGTCAGGATGGGGCCTCCGGTGGCCCCTGATTTTACTGAACACTCTGGGTAGAGCTTTGGGGCACAGGCAGCACAGGGAGTGCGGGAGAGGTATGAAGGCGGAGGCGGAGGGAGGTGCAGCTGCTGGTGAGTCAGGAAGACCCACAGTCGCCATGTCCCCCTGGAGAGAGGGCTGGATTAAAGCCCACAGGGGAGGGGCACCCGGATGGAGCCCAGAGCTGGGGGAAGAGGAGGAGGAGGAGGAAGAGGAGGGAGGGCCTGTGGACCCTGAGCAGGCACAGCACCAAGGGGGTTTATGGAGCCACATGGGCCATAGGGGTAGCACTCCCCTGGGGTTTGGGTGGAGGGAAGAGGGAGGTCTGGGAGGTGGGTATCCTTGGGGCTGGCGGGAGGTGCCTGGAGACATGGAGGACAAGGCAGGGTAGATGGAGAGTGCAGCTGAGAGCCAGCCCTGAGCAGAGCTGGCCTGGCCTGTGGCTATGAGGATGGGGTCCTGGGCTGGTGGGCTGGCCCTCCCCTCAGGGTAATAGGGAGCCCCAAGGAGAGGGCTCTGGGCCCGAGGAAGAAATGCCAGGGGAAGACCAGGGAACAGAATCTTAGGTTTGGGGAAAATGGAAGCAGATGTCCACATACCCCCCCGCCCACAGTTGCTGGCCACAGAGATCCCAGGGCTGAATCTCCGGCTGGGCCACTTCCTGTCACTCTCAGAAACTCCCTCTTCCCCAGCAGGGTGTGCATGGCGGGCAAGTCCCACCCAGGTCTGGAGGGAGCAGTTGGGGCCCAGGTTCCTGTGTGGCCGTCCCATCCTTTCACACTGGGTCTGGCTGGGAAGCTCTGCCTCAAGCCACACAGATGCACTTGGATCCACAAGGGCGATTCAGGGCATGGCTGTGCAGCCAAAGGAGGCCAAGTTAAGTATGATTCACTCATACATGGCTTTTCAGAATGCTTTTCCTTTTTTTTTTTTTTTTTTGGCATCAAGCTGCTGAAACCACCTGTGCAAAAATGATAACAGTGAGAGAGGTCTGGGGTGGCTGACTCCACTGAGTCCCGGGCACGGGTCAGGCTAACCGCGGGAGGAATTTAATCTAGAGTCTAACTTGCGTGGCTGTCCCCACTGAGTCCCGGGCACGGGTCAGGCTAACCGCGGGAGGAATTTAATCTAGAGTTTAACTTGTGTGGCTGACTCCACTGAGTCCCGGGCACGGGTCAGGCTAACCGCGGGAGGAATTTAATCTAGAGTCTAACTTGCGTGGCTGTCCCCACTGAGTCCCGGGCACGGGTCAGGCTAACCGCGGGAGGAATTTAATCTAGAGTTTAACTTGTGTGGCTGTCCCCACTGAGTCCCGGGCACGGGTCAGGCTAACCGCGGGAGGAATTTAATCTAGAGTTTAACTTGCGTGGCTGACTCCACTGAGTCCCGGGCACGGGTCAGGCTAACCGCGGGAGGAATTTAATCTAGAGTCTAACTTGCGTGGCTGACTCCACTGAGTCCCGGGCACGGGTCAGGCTAACCGCGGGAGGAATTTAATCTAGAGTTTAACTTGTGTGGCTGACTCCACTGAGTCCCGGGCACAGGTCAGGCTAACCGCGGGAGGAATTTAATCTAGAGTTTAACTTGTGTGGCTGACTCCACTGAGTCCCGGGCACGGGTCAGGCTAACCGCGGGAGGAATTTAATCTAGAGTCTAACTTGTGTGGCTGACTCCACTGAGTCCCGGGCACGGGTCAGGCTAACCGCGGGAGGAATTTAATCTAGAGTCTAACTTGCGTGGCTGACTCCACTGAGTCCCGGGCACGGGTCAGGCTAACCGCGGGAGGAATTTAATCTAGAGTCTAACTTGTGTGGCTGTCCCCACTGAGTCCCGGGCACGGGTCAGGCTAACCGCGGGAGGAATTTAATCTAGAGTCTAACTTGCGTGGCTGTCCCCACTGAGTCCCGGGCATGGGTCAGGCTAACCGCGGGAGGAATTTAATCTAGAGTCTAACTTGCGTGGCTGACTCCACTGAGTCCCGGGCACGGGTCAGGCTAACCGCGGGAGGAATTTAATCTAGAGTCTAACTTGCGTGGCTGTCCCCACTGAGTCCCGGGCACGGGTCAGGCTAACCGCGGGAGGAATTTAATCTAGAGTCTAACTTGCGTGGCTGACTCCACTGAGTCCCGGGCACGGGTCAGGCTAACCGCGGGAGGAATTTAATCTAGAGTCTAACTTGTGTGGCTGTCCCCACTGAGTCCCGGGCACGGGTCAGGCTAACCGCGGGAGGAATTTAATCTAGAGTCTAACTTGTGTGGCTGACTCCACTGAGTCCCGGGCACGGGTCAGGCTAACCGCGGGAGGAATTTAATCTAGAGTCTAACTTGCGTGGCTGACTCCACTGAGTCCCGGGCACGGGTCAGGCTAACCGCGGGAGGAATTTAATCTAGAGTTTAACTTGTGTGGCTGTCCCCACTGAGTCCCGGGCACGGGTCAGGCTAACCGCGGGAGGAATTTAATCTAGAGTTTAACTTGCGTGGCTGTCCCCACTGAGTCCCGGGCACGGGTCAGGCTAACCGCGGGAGGAATTTAATCTAGAGTTTAACTTGTGTGGCTGACTCCACTGAGTCCCGGGCACGGGTCAGGCTAACCGCGGGAGGAATTTAATCTAGAGTTTAACTTGCGTGGCTGTCCCCACTGAGTCCCGGGCACAGGTCAGGCTAACCGCGGGAGGAATTTAATCTAGAGTTTAACTTGTGTGGCTGTCCCCACTGAGTCCCGGGCACGGGTCAGGCTAACCGCGGGAGGAATTTAATCTAGAGTCTAACTTGTGTGGCTGTCCCCACTGAGTCCCGGGCACGGGTCAGGCTAACCGCGGGAGGAATTTAATCTAGAGTTTAACTTGCGTGGCTGACTCCACTGAGTCCCGGGCACGGGTCAGGCTAACCGCGGGAGGAATTTAATCTAGAGTTTAACTTGTGTGGCTGACTCCACTGAGTCCCGGGCACGGGTCAGGCTAACCGCGGGAGGAATTTAATCTAGAGTCTAACTTGCGTGGCTGTCCCCACTGAGTCCCGGGCACGGGTCAGGCTAACCGCGGGAGGAATTTAATCTAGAGTTTAACTTGCGTGGCTGTCCCCACTGAGTCCCGGGCACGGGTCAGGCTAACCGCGGGAGGAATTTAATCTAGAGTTTAACTTGCGTGGCTGTCCCCACTCAGTCCCGGGCACAGGCCAAGCTAACCACGGGAGGAATTTAATCTAGAGTTTAACTTTAAATCAAGAATAGTAATCATCCCTCCCTAAAACGAATCCCCTCCTTGCTCAAGACCGAAGCCACCTCTGTGAAGCTTGTGAAGGGCCACAAGATTAGGATGATGGGAGGGGCCTGAATTCTGCTCAGATGTAGGTGTCCTGAGGAGAACCAGCCCGCAGGCCTTGCTTCCCCAGCTTGCCCTGCTGTAATTCCCTACTGCTCAGGACTCACGCAGCCAGAGGTCACGAGATTTGTGACCGCCCCAATTGCTCCCCAATAAGATAACGTCAATAGTACAACCTAAGAATGGTCTTTTGGGATGTTTTTCAGACTTTTGAGTTCTGGCAACCTACAGACTCCACCTGGACCTGAGACTCATGACTCAGCTGATCCCGTGGCTCCACGCAGAGGCGGACTCAGGGGACAAAAATCGTTGACACCCCATGGTCCGTCTGCAGCCGATCAGCAGCAGGCATTCCCTAGCCCCTGCCTGCCAAATTGCCTGTAGAAACTGTAGCCTCTGAGTTCTCTGGGAGATTGAGTTGAATAATAACTCCAGCCTTTCTGCTTGGCTAGCTCTGTGTTAAACTCTTTCTCTACTGCAATACCACAATTGCAGTGAATTGGTTTTGTCTGTGCAGTGGGCAGGAAGAACCCATAGGTGGATTACACTGAGGAGAAACAGATCTGGAAGGTGGTGGAGGCTCCAACTTCTGTACTTCTGGCAGCTCAGAAAGAAGCTGATTCAGCAGGTCTGTGTTAGCTCAACATAGTCTGCTCTACTCCAGAGATAAAAGCTGAGAAGGCTTCTCTGGGAGCTTCTGTGTTTTCACAGCGTGTTCTCTCCCTCCTTCAACTGTGGCATGGGGCATGCAGTCCCTACCCAGCCTGGGTGCTCCTCACACCCTGCTTACAGGTTCTTCCCCCAGTAGCCCTTACGGTACCCACGGACACACATGGATGCAGGGTTGTGATCTTGACCCCTTTGCAAGGCCCATGTTCCATGAGCCAGGTTATATGATTTCAGCATCCCCGCTTACAGTCAGGACGTCATTGTAATCTTCATTTTCTTTACACTGATGGAAGATATACTCCACTCCTAGGAAAATGTCTCCCAAATTGTAGTCATCTGGAAAATCAGGCTGGGGAAATTCACCTGCTTTCAGATGCTAAAAAATGAGGAAATGTAGACTTAGAGAACAGGAAACGTAACCCAACCACAGGTTGACAGGTTTCATCCTGGTTAATCCCAAGGCAAATAAGCACTTATCTCTGAGCCAAATCACTTTTTTTTTTTTTTTTTTTGAGACGGAGTTTCACTCTTGTTGCCCAGGCTGCAGTGGAATGGCGCGATCTCGGCTCACTGCAACCTCTGCCTCCCGGGTTCAAGTGATTCTCCTGTCTCAGCCTCCTGAGTAGCTGGGATTACAGGTGCATGCCACCGTGCCCAGCTAATTTTTGTATTTCTTTTTTTTTTTTTTTTCCTGAGACAGAGTTTCCCTCTTGTTGCCCAGGCTGGAGTGTCCGCCTCCTGGGTTCAAGCAATTCTCCTGCCTCAGCCTCCCGAGTAGCTGGGACTACAGGCATGCGCCACCACGCCCGGCTAATTTTGTATTTTTAGTAGAGACTGGGTTTCTCCGTGTTGGTCAGGCTGGTCTCAAACTCCCAACCTCAGGTGATCCACCCGCCTTGGCCTCCGAAAGTGCTGGGATTACAGGCGTGAGCCACCGCGTCTGGCCTAATTTTTGTATTTTTTAGTAGAGATGGGGTTTCATCATATGGGTCAGGCTGGTCTCGAACTCCTGACCTCAGGTGATCTGCCTGCCTCAGCCTCCCAGAGTGCTGGGATTACAGGCGTGAGCCACTGTGCCAGCCACCCAAATCACTCTTAAGATGCATGTCTCAGGCCAGAGTGGCAGCTGGGCCTGTGGCGGGTGGGTTGCCCAGCCAACCGTACACAAGTGCCCTAAATTGTTTCCATTGTGAAAATTGTCAGAATAGCCAGGCGTGGTGGCTCACAGCTGTAATCCCAGCACTTTGGGAGGCCGAGGCGGGCAGATCAAGAGGTCAGGGGTTTGACACCAGCCTGACCAACATGGTGAAACCCCATCTCTACTAAAAATACAAAAATTAGCCAGGTGTGATGGCACATGCCTGTAACCCCAGCTACTCGGGAGGCTGAGGCAGGAGAATCGCTTGAACCTGGGAGGCGGAGGTTGCAGTGAGCCCCTAGACTGCGCCATTGCACTTCAGCCTGGCTGACAGAGCAAGACTCCGTCTCAAAAAAAAAAAGGAATTTGTCAGAATAAAAATGGAGCCATTAGGGTTATACAAACAAACCAAAAAACCTGACAAATAGAGCTGGGGAAAGCTATGAAGAGAGGATTCTCATACTTCCATGCCTGATAACAAAAACTGTCACTAAAGATGGCAAAAACTGCAACAAAGGCTATGACAACCTTACACACATACAAAACTGCAACCTTGCACAAAGGCTATGACAACCTTACACACACACACGAAACTGCAACCTTGCACAAAGGCTATGACAACCTTACACACACACAAAACTGCAACCTTGCACAAAGGCTATGACAACCTTACACGCACACAGAAACTTCTGCAAGGATAATCTGCCCAGCAACTGCCTGTCTAACCTTGGACGGACATTAATCTTGTTATTGATCTTTGCAACCAAGGATCATTATCTCAAAACAATTATGTTTTTTTCCTTTAAAAACCTTTGCCAGGCGGGGCTCAGTGGCTCACGCCTGTAATCCCAGCACTTTGGAAGGCAGAGGCGGGTAGATCACCTGAGGTCAGGAGTTCTAGACCAGCTTGGCCAACATGGTGAAACCCCAACTTTACTAAAAATACAAAAAAAAAAAAATTAGCCAGATGTGGTGGTGGGCGCCTGTAATCCCAGCTACTCGGGAGGCTGAAGCAGGAGAATCGCTTGGACCTGAGAGGTGGAGGTTGCAGTGAGCCGAGATTGTGCCATTGCACTCCAGCCTGGGTGACAGAGCAAGCCTCCGTCTCAAAAAAAAAAAAAAAAACAAAACCCTTGCCTTCCTTTACCTCCCTGAATATGCGAATATCCACACAGTCTACTATGGCATGTGGCATGTATTTTCACTGCAATGCTCTATCCCAAATAAACATCCTTTTCTTTAAAAGCCTGTTTGTTTAGGTTGCTATCACCTTGTCAAATGGCTTTTCATTTCTTTCATCCCTCCCAATGCAGAATCACGCAGATCCACAACTTCTACAGAGTTAAATCATCACATGGACACGACTGTATATTCCTGTTCTTTCCACTTGGTATTTTGTCCTAAAGAGTCTTTCACATTTTCCACATAAAGACTATAAAGACCAGTCCACTTAGTTAAGGACTGTTCACACTAAGCCAGTCACCTATGGCTGGATATTTAGGATGCTCCTCTTATTTTCCTATTACAGAAAATGGTAACTTTTTTTTTGAAAAAGGGTGTTACTCTGTGGCCCAGGGTGGAGTGCAGAGGTGCAGTCTTGGCTCACTGCAGCCTCAGTTTCTTGAGCTCAGGCGATCCTCTCACCTTAGCCTCCTGAGTAGCTGGGACGACAGCTCTGCACACCACCATGCCCGGCTAATTGTTGTTTTTATTTTTTGTAGAAACAAGGTTTGACCATGTTGCCCAGACTGGTCTTGAACTCCTGGGCTCAAGTGATCCTCCCACCTTAGCTTCCCAAAGTGCTGGGATTATAGGCCCAGCCAATAAATTAACATTTCAATACATTTTTACGTGATTCAGCATTTTCTTTTCTTCTTTTTTTTTTTTTCTTTTTGAGACGGAGTCTCGCTCTGTCGCCAGGCTGGAGTGCAGTGGTGCAATCTCAGCTCACTGCAACCTCCGACTTCCTGGTTCAAGAGATTTTCCTGCCTCAGCCTCCCGAGTAGCTGGGATTACAGGCAAATGCCACCACACCCAGCTAACTTTTTTTGTATTTTTAGTAGAGACGGGGTTTCACCATGTTGGCCAGGATGGTCTTGAATTCCTGACATCGTGATCCACCCACCTCGGCCTCCCAAAGTGCTGGGATTACAGGCGTGAGCCACTGCACCCGGCCTCTTCTGCCTTTTGGTTTATTGTCTTGGGTGTGTCACCACAGGACTAAAGGATACATGTGTTTGAAATGCCAAGTTGCTTTCCCAAAGGATTGCTCCAATTCCTGCTGCTACAATGTGGGAAGCCTTGAATGAAGTCATCTACAGAATGTAGATAATAACCTGACTGCTATTACATTGAGTTTGTTGGAAATATTTACCCCAGTCTGTTTATTTTCAGTGTTGTTTTAATTTTTCCAATGTGCACATATTCATTAACGAATCCCACTTAAAACTGCAAAAATATTGCAGAAGCAGTTTGCTTCTCTCTTCTAATTCACTGAGAGCATTAGGAGGGGAAGGGGGGTGGACGCTAGTCACCTTTTTCTTTTCTTTTTTTTTTCCTGAGACAGAGTTTCGCTCTTCTTGCCCAGGCTGGAGTGCAATGGTGTGATCTCAGCTCACTGCAACCTCCATCTCTGGGGTTCAAGCGATTCTCCTGCCTCAGCCTCCCAGGTAGCTAGGATTATAGGTGCCCCCCTCCACCTCCCGCCCGGCACAACCACACCCAGCTAATTCTTTGTGTTTTTAGTAGAGGCAGGGTTTCACCATGTTGGCCAGGCTGATCTCGAACTCCTGACCTCAGGTGAACCACCCGCCTCGGGCTCCCAAAGTGCTGGGATTATGGGTATGAGCCATCGCGCTCGGCTGTCACCTTTCTTTTTCCTGCTGGGTTACCAGTGTAATTGTAGACTCTGGGTGATGGGCCTCGATCAGTGGAGGCTGAATATACTGCTCTCTCTACTTTTGTGTATATTTGAAAATTTTCAAAATTAAAATTAAAAATCATGTCTGTAACATATATACTTATAGGCACCATGGAGCCTAGCCTATAATATAATTAATACATGAAATTTAGGCCGGGTGCTCTGGCTCACGCCTGTAATCCCAACACTCTGGGAAGCCCGAGGCAGGCAGATCACCTGAGATCAGTTCAGGAGCAGCCTGGCCAACATGGTAAAACCCCCGTCTCTACTAAAAATACTGACAAAAAAAAATTAGCCAGGCGTGGTGGCCAGCATCTGTGGTCCCACCTACTGGGGAGGCTGAGGCAAAAGAATCACTTGAACCAGGAAGGGAGGTTGCAGTGAGCCGAGATCGCACCACTGCACTCCAGCCTGGGTGACAGAGCAAGACTCCGTCTCAATTAAAAAACAAAACAAAACAAAACAAAACGACAGGAAATTTACTCTGGGAAGATGGGCTAGACAAGAAGAGGAACATTTTTTTTTTACCTCATGAAATGGAAAAGAAAGCACATCGGTTGGGACATTTCTATCTCTGTAGATTCTATTAATGTGCTGAATATTCTTGTTGTCAACACAGATGATCCCCAGGTCAAATTTCTGCACTCCTAAAATCCTCCTTACAATCTCGATCTTACTGCGAAGTGGCGCTCTCCTGATGGGGATGACTCGCTGCAGATTTCTAATCACCAAACTCATTTCAGGAAGAATAACCAGCCCTTTAAAAATGTTTGCAACGGAACCTGGGGTTAAAGTGTAAGAGAAGACCAATCAGTACAAGTGATAATACGGTCTGTAAAAATACAGATGCACGCGCAATCAGATCACTTTATTTGGTGGAACTGATTGAAAATCTTAAGGGAATTTACATTTACCACAAGGAGGAAGCAACAACGAGGGTCTATGGAAGGATGCCGCGGAATCCGGCCAGAAGGACTCCAGGCGGGCGGAGCGGAAGGAGCGGTTCCCAGAGAAAAGGGGGCGGGTTGGGGGTGCGCGCGGAGAGAGGCGCGCGGACGCGGCGGGGTGCGGGGAGGGGCAACGGCTGGGGAGAGAAGGGGCTGGAATGGGGGAGGGACAGGAGAGGGGACAGGTAAGCGTTGGGGGCCGGGTCCTCTGGGGTCTGGGGCGCCCGCAGACCCACGCGGGTGAATGCGACGCTCTCGCTTGGGAGACTAAAAACCCGCCCGGACGTACCGGTGTCTGGACCCAGCAAAGGACGCGAGAGCGGGCGGACCCTCCCGACCGGAAGCCCCGCCACAGAGCGGGTTGTGGGGAGCGGAACCGGATCGCAGCGGGCGGGGCGGAATCCGGTAGTGCTGAGCGAACCGGAAGTCGGTCCGCGGCGTTTTCTGCCCGCGGTGCGCAGCGCTGAGTGTCGCGGCAGCAGCCTGTGCTTGCGCCTCAAGTCTTTCCGAGGGGCCAGTGGGCAGCGCGGGCCTCGGGGTCCTGGGGCGAGACGGTGAGCGTGGGGGCTGGGCCGGCGCCAGGGGCGCCGTTTCCTTCCCCCACGCAGCTCCGCGCGCCCGGGCCTCCACATCGTCGCTAACGGAGCGTTGCGGCGCCGGCGACCCCTGGCGAGCCCGGGGCGGGACAGTGGCCAGGCCGGCCTGGGCCCAGCGCGTGGCCTCCGCCGTTTCGGGCTGTGCTGGGTGGAAGATTAGGCTCCCCGGGCACGCCGTCCCCGCCGAGAGGCCTCAGCTTCGTGGCAGCGCCCTCGTCCTTCCAGCCCGCTCGAGGGTGGCCGCCAGGGCGCGATGAAGGAATGTGAGAAAGTGCTTAGCGCTCCAGCCGCTCCGAGGGAAGCCAGGTGGGAGGAGATCCCGAAACGCTAAGGTTTTGACAGCGTTACAGTGAATTCTCCGGCTGTAGAGATTGGAGGAAGTCGGGAGAAATTCGTCTCTAAGTTGTAAGGTGGAACAGCATTCATTTTCTTACTGCCAATGGAGGTTTTTCATGAATTTACTAACTCAGTAAAAAGATTCGGCTTTTTTTTTTTTAATCTTAAAGGATCACGCTTTAAACCTCTGTAACAAAGTAATTATTTGTACCACTCTCTACCCCACCCTCCAACAAAATAACCTATCGGCTCTCAGAAAATAATAACCCTTTGCCTGCCTTTGAAATAGTTATCCTTTTAGTATGACAGTGTTCAAAAATTCTTTTCTTAGACTTGTAGCAGAACATAGCTATGATGATCTGAATTTTTCTCTTTCAGCTTGTTCTAAAGACGAAGGGGAACTCCCTAGTGCTACAGGCTGTTTCAGGAAGCCAATTAATTTTGTACACATAATACTTAATTACCTTCTAATAATTGGAGCAGAAGATGAACCCAACTAATCCTTTCAGTGGGCAGCAGCCTAGTGCTTTTTCGGCGTCTTCTAGTAATGTAGGAACACTTCCATCTAAGCCGCCATTTCGATTTGGTCAACCTTCTCTTTTTGGACAAAACAGTACCTTATCTGGGAAGAGCTCGGGATTTTCACAGGTATCCAGCTTTCCAGCGTCTTCTGGAGTAAGTCATTCCTCTTCAGTGCAAACATTAGGGTTCACCCAAACCTCAAGTGTTGGACCCTTTTCTGGACTTGAGCACACTTCCACCTTTGTGGCTACCTCTGGGCCTTCAAGTTCATCTGTGCTGGGAAACACAGGATTTAGTTTTAAATCACCCACCAGTGTTGGGGCTTTCCCAAGCACTTCTGCTTTTGGACAAGAAGCTGGAGAAATAGTGAACTCTGGTTTTGGGAAAACAGAATTCAGCTTTAAACCTCTGGAAAATGCAGTGTTCAAACCAATACTGGGGGCTGAATCTGAGCCAGAGAAAACCCAGAGCCAAATTGCTTCTGGGTTTTTTACATTTTCCCACCCAATTAGTAGTGCACCTGGAGGCCTGGCCCCTTTCTCTTTTCCTCAAGTAACAAGTAGTTCAGCTACCACTTCAAATTTTACCTTTTCAAAACCTGTTAGTAGTAATAATTCATTATCTGCCTTTACCCCTGCTTTGTCAAACCAAAATGTAGAGGAAGAGAAGAGAGGACCTAAGTCAATATTTGGAAGTTCTAATAATAGCTTCAGTAGCTTCCCTGTATCATCTGCGGTTTTGGGCGAACCTTTCCAGGCTAGCAAAGCAGGTGTCAGGCAGGGGTGTGAAGAAGCTGTTTCCCAGGTGGAACCACTTCCCAGCCTAATGAAAGGACTGAAAAGGAAGGAGGACCAGGATCGCTCCCCAAGGAGACATGGCCACGAGCCAGCAGAAGATTCGGATCCTCTGTCCCGGGGCGATCATCCTCCAGACAAACGACCTGTCCGCCTGAATCGACCCCGGGGAGGTACTTTATTTGGTCGGACGATACAGGATGTTTTCAAAAGCAATAAGGAAGTAGGTCGTCTGGGCAACAAGGAGGCCAAAAAGGAAACTGGCTTTGTTGAGTCTGCAGAAAGTGACCACATGGCTATCCCAGGAGGGAATCAGTCTGTCCTGGCACCTTCCCGGATTCCAGGTGTGAATAAAGAGGAAGAAACTGAAAGTAGAGAGAAGAAAGAAGGTGAGCTCTGAAAATGTAGCACATAGAGTAAATCCTGCAGGCAGGTTTTCAATACGTTTCTCTGGGTGTTAGCTTGATTTTTCAGATAAATCTCCCATAAACATTAGGGATTCTAACATGTCATCGGAGCAGGTCTTACATCTGAAAATTTCCTCTGCTTCGACACAGTTGGTGCCTCCTGTTGTTGGAAACATCTGATGGTTTAAGTGTCCATTCTCTGAACCCCTAGATTCTCTAAGAGGAACTCCGGCGCGTCAGAGTAACAGAAGCGAGAGCACAGACAGTCTTGGGGGCTTGTCTCCCTCTGAAGTCACAGCCATCCAGTGCAAGAACATCCCTGACTACCTCAACGACAGGACCATTCTGGAGAACCATTTTGGCAAAATTGCTAAAGTGCAGCGCATCTTTACCAGGCGCAGCAAAAAGCTTGCAGTGGTACATTTCTTTGATCATGTGAGTACTCCCATCTTGCCATTTGTTACCCTAGATTTGAACCTTGTCACTTTAAAACCTGTTTTTTT
Organism: Homo sapiens; assembly: GCF_000001405.40. NCBI lineage: Eukaryota > Metazoa > Chordata > Mammalia > Primates > Hominidae > Homo > Homo sapiens. The sequence continues at coordinate 46,283,546 of NC_000021.9, read as the reverse complement.
TTTTTGGTCCCTCAGTTGTTTGCTTACTATAATATAGAGAAAGTACTCAAATATCTTATTAGCATAGGCTGGGATAGCACTATTTATTTCATAACTTGGCATATTCTAGGTCCCTACAGAATATAGTACTCTAGAAATGCTGGGAGAGTTGTTCTCATGAAGTGAAATTCTTCTGAAAGGCTTTAGAAATTCAGAAATTCTTCTGAAAGGCTCTAACCACATAGTACTTTTGGAAGTTGAGTTTTTTGGTTTTGTTTTTGTTTTATTTGGTCATAGAAGATGATCGCTGTAAACGTTCAAACAATACAGAAAAAGTGAAATTGGCCGGGCGTGGTGGCTTACGCTTGTAGTCCCAGCACCTGGGGAGGCCAAGGTGGGCGGATCATGAGGTCAGGAGATCCAGACCATCCTGGCTAACACGGTGAAACCCCATCTCTACTAAAAATACAAAAAATTAGCTGGGTGTGGTGGCTCGCGCCTGTCATCTCAGCTACTCGGGAGGCTGAGGCAGGAGAATTGCTTGAATCCGGGAGGCGGCGGTTGCAGTGAGCCGAGTTCGTGCCACTGCACTCCAGTCTGGGAGACAGAGCCAGACTCCGTCTCAAAAAAAAGAAAAAGAAAAAAAGTGAAATTCCCCTTGTCAGTCTGTCCTCTAGAGATAACTGCTTTGAAGCACTGGGTTTGTATCCTGACTTTAAATGTATGCATAATACTTTCTTTTTATTTATTTATTTATTTTTTTGAGATGGAGTCTTGCTCTGTCACCCAGGCTGGAGTGCCGTGGCATGATCTCGGCTCACTGCAAGCTCCACTTCCCGGGTTCACGCCATTCTCCTGCCTCAGCCTCCGGAGTAGCTGGAACTACAGGCGCCCGCCACCACACCCGGCTAATTTTTTTGTATTTTTAGTAGATACGGGCTTTCACTGTGTCAGCCAGGATGGTCTCGATCTCCTGACCTCACGATCTGCCTGCCTCGGCCTCCCAAAGTGCTGGGATTACAGGCGTGAGCCACTGCGCCCAGCCTAAATGTATGCATAATACTTTCTAGGGTGCAGTGAACGTGGACTGCTTATGTTATATAGCTTTATATCGTCACTATTTTTTCTGAGTATTCTCATAGACAAAATTACGTTCTATAGGAATTTATAAAGTATAAATTTATAAAGTGAATGATACTACATTGAGTGGATGGACTACGTTTTGTTGATTCGTCTGTTGGCAGACGCGGGTTGTTTCTACTTTTTGGCTATTGTGAATAATGTTCATTGGCATATGACTTATTTGAGTCCCTGCTTTCAGTTTTTTGGGGTATATTCTTAGGATTGGAATTGCTGGGTCATATGGTAATCCTAATTTGTTTTTAGTTTTAATTTTTTTAATTAAAAAAAGTTTGTATTTTTACATTTGTATAGATGGGGTCTTACTGTGTTGCTCAGGCAGGTCTCGAACTCCGGTCCTCAAGCTGTCCTCCTGCCTTAGCCTCCCAAAATGTTGGGATTACAGACCTGAGTCATTGTACCGGCTCTCATTTTTGTTGTTGTTGTTTTTGAGACGGGGCCTTGCTCTGTCTCCCAGCCTGTATTGTAGTGGCGCAATCTTGGCTCACTTCAACCTTTACCTTTCCAGTTCAAGCGATTCTCCTCCCTCAGCCTCCCAAGTAGCTGGGATTGTGTGTGCACCACCATGCCTGGCTAATTTTTGTAGTTTTAGTGGAGAGGGGGTTTCACCACGTTGGCCAGGCTGGTCTCGAACTCCTGACCTCAGTGTTCCACGCACCTTGGCCTCCCAAAGTGCTGGGATTACAGGCGTGAGCCACCATGCCTGGCCTTGTTTTTATTATTTATTACTACTATTTATTTTATTGTTATTTTATTATTTATTTATTTTTTTGAGATGAAGTTTCACTATGTGGCCCAGGCTGGTCCTAAATTCCTGGGCACAAGTGATCCTCCCACCTCCACCTCCCAAAGTGCTAGGATAACGGGCATGAGCCACCATGCCCAACCCCCTTTTGTTTTTACAGTTATTTTTTGCCTGTTGCAATGTGCTTATTTTCCCAGCTGAACCTTAAATATTTTATGACATAACTAATATGTAAATAGACTGCCTTTATAAACAATTCATTGATACAGACAAAACTGAATATCCTCATCTCTCCTGTTACTCAGGAGCAGTCCAGTTAACTAGTGTGATGTGTATTTTTTTAGACATTTTTATGAGTGTATCTACACGGAGACTAACGTGGTTGGTTTTGTGTGTGTTTTCTGTGGTAAGTGGCATCCCATGTGTGTTATTCTGCAGCTCCCTTTTGTGCTTAATTGTGACTTCGCAAACTTTCTGTCTCTGTATGTGTGATCAGCTGGTGAGAATCATCTCACCAAATGCCAACAAGGCCAAGTTTGTGAGTTCTATGAAGCAAAGTTGTTAATTAAAAAAAAGGGGCCGGGCGCGGTGGCTCACGCCTGTAATCCCAGCACTTTGGGAGGCCAAGGTGGGCGGATCACCTGAGGTCAGGAGATCAAGACCATCCTGGCTAACACGGTGAAACCCCGTCTCTACTACAAATACAAAAAATTAGCCGGATGTGGTGGCGGGCGCCTGTAGTCCCAGCTGCTCAGGAGGCTGAGGCAGGAGAATGCATGAACCCTGAAGGTGGAGATTGCAGTAAGCTGAGATCTCACCACCGCACTCCAGCCTGGCTGACAGAGCGAGACTCTGTCTCAAAAAAAAAAAGGGGGAAAGAGCAAATACATGCTTGTGAGACAGGTAAGGGAGATGAATACTGCTGCTGCCGCAGCCAGAGACCATGCAGTTAGCAGACGTGTGGGTGGAGAAATCACTGTCGTGCAAAGGACAGGAGCTCCTGGTGCCTTTGAATGGTCTGTTGTGCTTACTGCATTTGAGTTTTCAATCCCATTTCCTTTGGTTTCCTGATATACTCACACATGGCGGTTGTGGACTGTTTTCCAGGCATCTGCAGCCCTGGCTAGAAAGAAGGGGAAAAGTTTGCATAAAGACATGGCTATCTTTTGGCACAGGAAGAAAATAAGTGAGTTTTCAATTATTCTTTTCACTTTTTAAAAAAATTATTTTTATTTATTTTATAGAGATGAGATCTCGCTATGTTGCCCAGTCTGATCTTGGGATTACAGGCATGAGCCATTGTGCATGGCCCTCTTTTCAGTTTCTCATGCTCTTGGTCCAAACCCTTTGAGCGTGAGCCCTTTCCCCAGCCAGTGGAGGAGGCTGGCTCTCAGTGGATTTGCATCTCACAGTTATTTCCTTGGGCTCTTCTCTAACCTCCTGTGACAATGAAAATAATATTACTTTCTTAGAAACAGAGTGAAAAAATCCAGTTCCAGGTGATCTGTGATTGCATAAACTCTTTTCTGCCTCCTATGTCCACAGGCCCCAATAAGAAACCCTTTTCCCTGAAGGAGAAGAAACCAGGTGACGGTGAAGTCAGCCCGAGCACAGAGGATGCACCCTTTCAGCACTCTCCTCTTGGCAAGGCCGCAGGGAGGACTGGTGCTAGCAGCCTCCTGAATAAAAGGTGGGATCGGTCCCTCCTAATGACCTTATTCCGGAAGGACCAGGAAATAGCGCCCTATAGCGACACCTGAGTCAGGGTGCAAGACTGTGGGGAGTGGTGAGGAGACAAAAGCCAGTTGCTAGGGATGGTTGGGGGTGGAGGGGCAGGGGCTCTGCCCCTCCTGCCAGCATGGGCCGTTAGGAGGTGGGTCTGTGTGGGGCTGGTGGTCCCAGCCAGAAGAGAGAATTTTCTGACACTGGTAACTGCCAGCTGCAGAGATGGTGGAGAGCAGTGATTCTGTCCTGTCTTGTTCTCATATACCCTAGGGCCAAGGTTGCTGAGAAAGCCTTCCTTTGGGGCTGGCCTTTTTTTCTTGTTTCCATCTTGGCATTTTCTATGGGAGAATCTCATCACACAGTTGTTATAGCTGGTACAGACCTTTCAGCTGCAGCTACAGGAGATCCAGGGGAGGCTGCTCACTTAGGACAGCAGAACTTCTGTCCTTGCACAGAGTGCCTGCTCTGTGGGACACACGCAGGCTGGCGCCCTGTGGCGGGTCGCTGCCTGCCTCACAGGATTGTAGTAGGAAATCTCCTTGCTCATCTAACTCGTCCTGAATCCCACTGCAGTTAAGTGCAGTTCCACTTGACATATAAATGTATAAGCAATAACTTTTTACCTCAAGACATTTAACTGGCTGTAATAAACCATGCATTCCTTTTTTTTTTGAGACACAGTCTGGCTGTTGCCCAGGTTGGAGTTCAGTGGCACGATCTTGGCTCACTGCAACCTCTGCCTCCTGGGTTCAAGAAATTCTCCTGCCTTAGCCTCCCTAGTAGCTGAGATTACAGGTGCGCTCCACCACGCCCAGCTAATATTTTTGTATTTTTAGTAGAGATGGGGTTTCACCATGTTGGCCAGGCTGGTCTCGAACTCCTGACTAGAGATGCATGCCCGGCCAAACCATGCATTTCTAATAATCACTTTCAGCAGTTTCCAGCATTACTTTTTTTTTTTTTTTTTTCCTGAAGAGCTGTCTCCTGGCCGGGCGCAGTGCTCACGCCTGTAATCCCAGCACTTTGGGAGGCCAAGGCGGGCGGATCACAAGGTCAGGAGATTGAGACCATCCTGGCTGATATGGTGAAACCCCATCTCTACTAAAAATACAAAAAATTAGCCGGGCATGGTGGCAGGTGCCTGTAGTCCCAGCTACTTGTGAGGCTGAGGCAGGAGAACTGCGTGAACCCGGGAGGCGGAGCTTGCAGTGAGCCGAGATTGCGCCACTGCACTCCAGACTGGGCAACAGAGCGAGACCCCATCTCAAAAAAAAAAAGGCTGTCTCCTAAAGGAAGGGCAGCATGACTTTTTGCAGGTGCAGCTTATCACAGTGAAGCAGACACGGTCGGCCATGTTAGTTGTGTTAACCGGCATGTGATGTGAAGTGCCCTGGCTACCTTGTCTGTCTGGGGAACTCTGTTCTCAAAGGCTTTTGCTTTTCACACCAGGCCTACTTTGACAGATCTCCGGCTGAATCCATCTTTTCATCTTTTGGCCAATGTATTTTCCTCACTTTCCGTTTTGTGACGAGCAGTTTAGTTGCTGGTTTGACATAATCTTTGACATTCAAGTTCAGAAAATGATGAAAGCTAGAAAATGGGGAAGCTGAGAGAGAATGCCTGATTCCTTTTAGTATGTCCTTCTACCAAAATAATTTCTGTTTTAAAACATGTAGGCTTAATATTTCCTTATGATATTAAAGACTTTTTTCATGCTGAGTTTATTTCTTTGAAATAGAAATCAGTAAGTGTTCATTTTAGCTGTTTAAATGAGCCTATCTTTTTTTTTTTTTCGGGGGGTGGTAAGTTAGAGTCTCACTCTGTCACCCAGGCTGGAGAGCAGCAGTGTAATAATCTCAGCTCACTGCAACCTCTGCCTGCCAGGCTCAAGCAATCCTCTCACCCCAGCCTCTCGAGTAGCTGGGACTAGAGGCACATGCCACCATGCCCGGCTAATTTTTAAATTTTTTGTAGAGATGGGGTCTCCCTATGTTGCCCAGGCTATTTTGTTTTTCAAAAGTATGAAATATTTCAAAATTATATTAAAGTCAGTGAGTAATGTGAATAACGCTTTTGTGCTCATTACCATCCTTATCAAAACTCATCTCATTTCAGTGCTTGTAGTTTCTCAGCTTTAGAGGACCAGAAAATCTTGAAAGATGAGGGGACGTGTTCAGAAATGAAAATGCTCTGAAGGCCTTCCTGGGACGAGGGCCCTCAGTGTGGTGTTTACTTTATAGCTCTCCAGTGAAGAAGCCAAGTCTTCTAAAGGCCCACCAATTCGAGGGAGACTCTTTTGACTCAGCCTCCGAGGGCTCCGAGGGCCTCGGGCCATGTGTGCTCTCCCTCAGTACCCTGATAGGCACTGTGGCTGAGACATCCAAGGAGAAGTACCGCCTGCTTGACCAGAGAGACAGGATCATGCGGCAAGGTATGGCACTTGGTGGCAGAGGTTCTAGGGGCCTGGTGAGGTCGTCATCTTGGGTGCCATCAGGGCAGGAGCAACTCCTTTCCATTGGGCTCTATTGCTGTTGAGTCTCAGAGCCTGTGATATGCTGTGTCTGATCTTCATAGTCTGCCTGTCTTCTTGGAGTGAGTGTTGCGTGTATGTGTACATAAATGTGCAAATATGTTTGCTAATGTATGTATAAAATAGTAGTGGGAGGATGCAAAAGAATGGGCTCCTGTCTGTAGAGGGAGCGGGATTCCGAGGGGCAGAGGTTATGGTGGAGTGCTCCGTCTTGGACAGGGCATTCTTACACTGTTACAATGTTGAACTGTGTGAATGTATTACCTACTAAAAAGTAAGTATTCCATTAACACTAAAAATATATGCAGGGACCAAAAATAAAAGGAAAAAACACAGGTACTTCTCTTAGCCAATTTTTTTCTCTTAAATTTCAGCCGGGCTGGGCATGGTGGCTCACACCTGTAATCCCAGCACTTTGGGAGGCTGAGGCATGAGGGACCACCTGAGGTCAGGAGTTAAAGACTAGCCTGGCCAACATGGCAAAACCCCCATCTCTACAATAAATAAATAAATAATAAATAAGCAGGCTGGGTGCGGTGGTGTGCATCTGTAGTCCCAGCTACCTGGGAGGCTGAGGCAGGAGAATCACTTGAACTGGCGAGGTGGAGGTTACAGTGAGCCGAGATTGTGCCACTGCACTCCAGCCTGGACAACAGGGTGAGATTCTGTCTCAAAAAAAAAAAAAAATGCTGGGCGTGGTGGCTCACGCCTGTAATCCCAGCACTTTAGGAGGTCGAGGCTGGTGGATCACCTGAGGTCAGGAGTTCGAGACCAGCCTGACCAACATGGAAAAACCCCATCTCTACTAAAAAGACAAAATTAGCCGGGCGTGGTGGCACATGCCTGTAATCCCAGCTACTTGGGAGGCTGAGGCAGGAGAATGGCTTGAACCCGGGAGGCTGAGGTTGCGGTGAGCCGAGATTGTGCCATTGTACTCCAGCCTGGGCAGCAAGAGCGAAACTCCATCTCAAAAAGAAAAAAAAAATCAGCTATAGGAGTTTCCTCTTTTTAAAAGCTGTGGATAATTTGAATAATCACCATGTTTCCTTAATATAATAACATATAGTAATAAAAGCTGCCATCAAACATCATATCATTGATACAGTGATTTTTATATTCTAAAAATTATTATTAGGTATTAGAATTTTTCTTTTTTTTTTTTTCCTCGAGATGGAGTCTTGCTCTGTTACCCATGGTGGAGTACCATGACAGAGTGAGCGCAACGTCAGCTCACTGCAACGTCCGCCTCCCGGGTTCAAGTGATTGTCTTGCCTCAGCCTCCTGAGTAGCTGGGACTACAGCCATGCGCCACCACGCCCGGCTAATTTTTGTATTCTTAGTAGAGATGGGGTTTCTCCATGTTGGTCAGGCTGGTCTCGAACTCCCGACCTCAGGTGATCTGCCAGTCTTGGCCTCCCAAAGTGCTGGGATTACAGGCGTGAGCCACCAGGCCGGGCCCAGGTATTAGAATTTTTCAACATGAAAACAATAAGTATATATTTTGAGTGTGAAGTTGTTGCATTTCCTTTTCCTTGCAAGCTACATTGTAACTTAAGTGTAATAGCAGTTTACTCATTCAGGTAAGAACCCAGTTAACGTCCATTATATGATTCTTATATTAAAGTCATGGTGAATACTGAGACAGTTTTAGAATAGTGATATATTTTGAATATTTGCAGTTGTTACAAGTCAATCCTTTTAGTAAACATCCTGCACCATGATTTTTTGTCATTGAGGTCATTACAGGAGTTAGAAAACTCCGGCTGAAAGTGAGGACACTCCCCTGCTTTTATCTGCAGTGAGGGTCTGTGACTGTTGGAGAGGTGACTCGGGGGTCTTTCTCTTAGTCTGCAGTGAGGGTCTGTGACTGTTAGAGAGAGGTGGACTCGGGTCTTTGGGAGCTTTGATGTCCCACTGCCTGGCATAATAGACCATAAGTCCTCTTTGTCTGAGGCTCTGAGTTTTACAAATGTTTTTCTTTTCTTTTGTAATGTGTGTGTGTGTTTTAAGTTTTAATTTCTTTTTATCATTATGAGAATACACTTCTGTAGGTTCGTGCTAACCATGTGGTACATTCTTACCTTTTACTTGACGTCATTTAGCTCGGGTGAAGAGAACCGATCTGGACAAAGCGAGGACTTTTGTTGGCACCTGCCTGGATATGTGTCCTGAGAAGGAGAGGTACATGCGGGAGACCCGTAGCCAGCTGAGCGTGTTCGAAGTGGTCCCAGGGACTGACCAGGTAGAGCCCTGCATCTCCCCGTGGAGTGTGGGCAGGGGACGGGGCTGCTTTTGTCATTTCTGTACATACTTGATTTGGGTGTTTGTTTTAGACAGTGTTGGGTATTTGTGCTATTAACAATCATATTAAGCTGTTTTGCATTGTGAGATGTTCACTCTGTAATTGGTACCTATACATGATAAGGTATAGATGCAAGTTATTTTAAATAAAGTTGTTTTTCAAATTCTTTTTTTTTTTTTTTTTTTTTGAGACAGGGTCTCACTCTGTCACCTAGGCTGAAGTGCAGTGGTCCAATCATGGCTCACTACAGCCTCAACTTCCCAGGCTCAGGTGATCCTCTCCTCTCACTCAGCTTACAGAGTAGCTGGGATTACAGGCATGCTCCACCACGCCTAGTTACTGTTTTATTTTTTGCAGCGATGGGGTCTTGCCGTGTTGCCCAGGCTGGTCCCGAACTCCTAAGCTCAAGTCATCTGCCCACCTCCGCCTCCCAAAGTGCTGGGATTACAGGCGTGAGCCACCACATCCAGCTAACTTTTTTCTTTTTACGATCTTATTCCTGTCTGTTTCTATGCTTATGTTTTACACATTCGAGATTATGCTCTAGATACAATTTTATGTGTATCTTTTCCACTTAAAATTATGTCATGAACATTTTCCTTTGTTAGGGTAAACTATGAGCATTTAAAAATGACAGCATATTATTTTATTAGTAGCTCTGTCAAAACTCTGCATTTTTACCATTAGTAGATAGGCTGCTTCTAAATTTTTAGTTCTATTAGTAATATTGTTTGGCATCTTGTATGTAATGCTTCTCTGGTATTTAGATTATTTTCTTCAGATCCTAAGAATTAAATTACTGCATCAGAGGGTATGACCTTTCCTGAACATTATCCATGTATCTTCCCAAATTGTTGCCCCAGAAAGCTGCACCAATATAGATCCTTTTGGACTTTGTGAATTTTGCTTATGGGCTTCTCCTCTTCCTGGCTGGTGGCTTTATACACCCTTCGCCTGGTGCGGGGTCCCCAGCCCAGCAACTCGTGTCACTGTAGGGCCCCTGCCCCAGGAGAGGCACATGCCCAGGGCCTTGTCCTGTGTACATCTCTGCCTCTTCCCTTGGCCACGTCTTCAGCCTCCTTTTGAGGTGGGAGATGCAATTCCAGGCCCCAGGTGGGCAGCCAGCCCCTGATGCTGTGTCCTCAGCAGTCCTCACCGCCTGTCTCTGTTTCACTTCTGCTCTGTGTAGACTTAATCTGGTGTGTGAGCGGGCCTGAGACCTTTTAAGTGCTTGAGGCCCTTCCCTGTCCCGTCTCTCTGCTTTGGAGGCTAGCAGATGTGCCTTCACTTAACATTCCTCCTGTTTGTCATGACGCACTCATATCTTAACTCCTTGTCATATTTGCCAAAATCAAATTTCTCTATTTGTCTTTGAATTTTGATTGTCACCTTTTAACAGAAATTTTATGTTGAAAAAATATATTCTCAAATACTGATCTTGTGTGGGTGTGTATGTGATTTTCCCCCTCATTTTCAGGCATAACTATGCCTGGCCCAAGGTATGCCACATGGGCATCCTGTCTCGGCTTCATGTCTCTAGGTGGACCACGCAGCAGCTGTGAAAGAGTACAGTCGGTCCTCGGCGGATCAGGAGGAGCCCCTGCCCCACGAGCTGCGGCCCTTGCCAGTGCTCAGCAGGACCATGGACTACCTGGTGACCCAGATCATGGACCAGAAGGAGGGCAGCCTGCGGGATTGGTATGACTTCGTGTGGAACCGCACGCGTGGCATACGGAAGGTATTGGCTGCCTCCAACCTGGATGCTAAAAAATCCACGCAAATTCCAAAGTCAAACTGATATTTTTATTACTCTGTTATATATTTTATCTGTAACAAAAATGTACTTTTGTGGGCCAGGTGCAGTGGCTCAGGCCTGTAATCCCAGCACTCTGGGAGGCCGAGGTGGGTGGATCACCTGAGGTCAGGAGTTTGAGACCAGCCTGGCCAACATGGTTAAACCCCATCTCTACTGAAAATACAAAAATTAGCTTGGCGTGGTGGCACACGCCTGTAGTCCCAGCTACTCGAGCGGCTGAAGCAGAATTGCTTGAACCTGGGAGGCGGAGGTTGTGGTGAGCCAAGATGACACCACTGCACTCCAGCCTGGCTTCTGTCTCAAAAAAAAAAACAAACCCCAGGACTTTTATTTAAGTCACTACAAAGTCCTATTAAAATGTGCATCATGGGCTTTGTTTCAAATTGAAAAGTGAGAAATTGAGGTCGTAGCATGATCCTTCTCACGGTTGCCTCTTTGCATGGGAATGTGTGTGTGATCCTCCCCCTCGCCTGTGGCCAGGATATCACGCAGCAGCACCTCTGTGACCCCCTGACGGTGTCCCTGATTGAGAAGTGCACCCGGTTTCACATCCACTGTGCCCACTTCATGTGTGAGGAGCCCATGTCCTCCTTTGATGCCAAGATCAATAATGAGAACATGACCAAGTGCCTGCAGAGCCTGAAGGAGATGTACCAGGACCTGAGAAACAAGGGTGTCTTCTGTGCCAGCGAAGCGGAGTTCCAGGGCTACAATGTTCTGCTCAGTCTCAACAAGGGAGACATCCTAAGGTGAATTTTCACATCCAAAAGTTGTCCTAAGGTGGCTGAAAAGGCAGGCTTTAAACAGGAGAAGAGCTTTCAGGAGTGGCAGTAGCCAATAGTGCAGCATTCTGTCTGGTAGCAGATGTTGGGATGATAGTAGAGGACCTTGGTCTGGCTTTGCAGTCGGCTGAGCTGAGCTGGGGGAAGAGCGATGGGGGTGTGCCCTGGGACCAGCACATCTGACGTAGGCCCCACATGTTCATTTCTGAAAATAGTTTCTCCTCACCAGTGAGAAAATGAGGAAGGAATCCTCCTCATGAGACAGGTGAGTGAACCAGGAGAGGGAGTTCCAGGTGCCCTGCAAGGTTGTTAGCAGTTCCCTGTTCCCAGATAGTTTTGTCAAAGATCTCAGAATAAGAGAGGAAAAAATTATGTAAAACAAAAATGCGAAGAATGGGGTAGTGAGAATGAATGAATGTAAAACCCTGGTCTGATCCATAATTAGTCACTTACATGCGAAGTCTGGCGAGCTCTCTGGCCCTCTGCTTGTGGTGGACCCTCTGCTTGTGGTTAAGCTGGACTTATGGTGGACAGTGTCCCCTTTAGTTCTAAGAATCCCCTATCAATGGTGAACCTCTTTTTTTTTTCTTTGTATTTTCCTCAAGAACTGTGTGACAGAATATCTAGATGTGTGGTTGATTTTAATTTTTTATTTCATTTTATTTTTGAGACCGAGTCCTGCTCTGTTGCCCAGGCCGGAGTACAGTAGTGCGATCTTGGCTCACTGCAACCTCCACCTCCTGGGTTCAAGCGATTCTCTTGCCTCAGTCTCCTGAGTAGCTGGGATTACAGGCACATACCACCATGCCCGCCTCATTTTTTTGTATTTTTAGTAGAGACAGGGTTTCACCATGTTGGCCAGGCTTGTCCGGAACTCCTGACCTCAGGTGATCCACCTGCCTCGGCCTCCCAAAGTGCTGGGATTACAGTTAGAGTCTCCATGCCCGGCTGATTTTAAATTTTAAAATTAAGCCTTGTATAGCCTGGGCAACATGGTGAGACCCTTCCACAAAAATGAATAAATAAATAAAATTAACCAGGTGTGGTGATGTGTGCCTGTAGTTCCAGCGACTGGGGAGGCTGAGGTGGGAGGATCCCTTGAGCCCAGGAGGTCAAGGCTGCAGTAAGCTGTGATCATGCCACTGTCCTCCAGTCTGGGTGACAAAGCAAGACCCTATCTCTTAAAAAAAAAAAAAAAAAACCCAGGTGTGGTGGCCCATGGCCTGTTATCACAGCACTTTGGGAGGCCGAGATGAGAGGGTTGCTTGAGGCCAGGAGGTTGAAGCTGCAATGAACTGTGATTGTGCCAGTGCACTCCAGCCTGGGTGATAGAGCAAGTACTCTGTCTCAAAAAAAAAAAAAATTAAACTGGTTATGAAAGATTGCTGTATTGTCTTTTTCTACGTGACAAGCATTTGTTCTCCATCACGAATAATTCAGTCAAAATCAATTCATTTCTAAACAAAAAGAGTTAAGTTTTCTGTTTTTTAGACTTTACCATCCAGCACAGCTGACAGTCCATTGGCATTACTTTAAAGTAACTTTTTGATAACTGATTCCTAAATTGCTTTTTGAATTTGTTTATTCTATTCATTATTGTTTTGAAGGAAACCTTTGTCAAACCAATCCAAGCGTGGTAGTTAGTAAACTATGAATTTAACGGCACATTTCACCAGTAAGACCCTCCTTCTCAGTATGGTTGAAATCCAGTATCATTATTACTTGAGACAGGGTCTTGCTCTGTCACCCAGGCTGGAGTACAGTGATGCGATCACAGCTCACTGCAGCCTCAACCTCCTGGGCTCAAACGATCCTCCCACCTTGGCCTCCCCACGTTTTGGGATTACAGGTGTGAGCCACTGCATCTGGCCAGTGAAATCTATTATTTATCAGATCTATCTTCATGAAAATTTTGTCTTATTTAAAATAACATTCCAACCCCTTTTCTCTCCTTTAATTAACAGAGAAGTACAACAGTTCCATCCTGCTGTTAGAAACTCATCTGAGGTGAAATTTGCTGTTCAGGCTTTTGCTGCATTGAACAGTAATAATTTTGTGAGATTTTTCAAACTGGTCCAGTCAGCTTCTTACCTGAACGCTTGTCTTTTACACTGTTACTTCAGTCAGGTGAGTAAATGAGCTGTGCTTGCAGAGTTGGAAGAAAGCAGGTGGTTCTTGTGCTGTTTGGGTGCTTTCTTATTCCAAGCTTTTCAAAGGAGGTCTCAGGCTGATGCTGTGTCACCCTTGCAGCAGCCCCACGAAGGGGTTACCGGTGTTGCCCTGTTTTATAGGGGTTATCACTGTTGGTCACCATCCGGAAAGGCTGTGCAATGGAAAATACTGTTCCATGGTTCAAATAAGAAAAATCTCTTTGGGAAAACATAGGTTGAATTCAGCACTATCATCATCCATGAAAGCTAACTAAAAAGCAAAAATCTCATATCATATGCACAAAATCTCTGACTTTGAAATGCTTCATGTTTTAAATCGAAGTTTCTGGAGTGAGGCTGATGGCGCTAAGTTCCTTTCAGTGGGTGCCTCAGTGTCTGTGCTTTGCCGTGTGCTAGGGTTGCAGAGGCAATGGGAAGGCCAGTCCCTCCCCTGGGGTTTGCGCAGAGTAAACTGTGTCTTGGGGTTTCCAGTCGGTTATTTTGTTCCACTTCCACGGAACTTGGGGATGAGGACAGAGCAGCCCCTGTAGCACCTGCTGTTCTAGGCCCTGCATGATTCCGTTCAGTGCAATGTGACCAGGACCGCGGCCCACCGCACAGAGCGCCACCTCACCTCGCACACACTCTGCTGCCCATTCTGGCAGCGGCTCCAAGGAGGCTGCCAGGATTCCTTGCCACAAGCCCGTAGTGGCCACAGCGTGGGGAGGATGCTGCCTGGGAGATCCTGGGACCTGCCTTGGTTGATCTGTGGCTCCAGGTCATTTCTTTGGTCACACATCAGGGCCTCCTGTAAACAGTGACTAAACCCACAGTCATGTCACAGTCAGAAGGTCTTTTGCAGGTTTGCTCCTTGTCAGATCTGCAGGTTGCCAAACAGAACTGATATTCTGGAGTAAATGAAAAGGTTTTCCACAACTTGCCACTTGTAGTTAATATTGGCTGGGTGCTTTGGCTCACACCTGTTATCCTGGCACCTTGGCAAACTTGGGAGGTGGGAAAATTGCTTGAGCTCAGGAGTTCAAGGCCAGCCTGGGCAACATAGGGAGGCCCTGTCTCTACTAAAAATAAAAAAAAAGCCAGGCAGGTGTGGTGGGATGCTCCTGTAGTCCCAGCTACTCAGGAGGCTGAGGTGGGAGGATCGCTTGAGCCCAGGAAGTTGAGGCTGCAGTGAGCCAAGATCTGCACTCTCCAGCCTGGGCAACAGAGGCCCTCTCAAAAAAAATAAACAAAAATAAAACATAGTTAATGTTGTATACACGATGATTGAGCGTTAGTAGAATGTTGACCATTTTTAATAACTTTATTTATTTATTTATTTAGAGATGGAGTCTCGCTCTGTTGCCCAGGCTGGAGTGCAGTGGCATGATCTCTGCTCACCGCAACTTCTGCCTCCTGGGTTCAAGTGATTCTCCTGCCTGAGCCTCCCTCCCCAGTAGCTGGGACTACAGGAGCCCGCCACCACGCCCAGCTAACTTAGTAGAGATGGGATTTCGCCATGCTGGCCAGGCTGATCTCGAACTCCTAGCCTCAGGTGATCCACCCACCTCGGCCTCCCAAAGTGCTGGGATTACAGGCATGAACCACCTTGCCTGGCCGTTTTTAATAACTTTAAACAAAAGAGATATTCGGGTATTTTTCTTTAGAAAAGCTCTTCACCGGCAGTGGCGCACAGAGGCAGCCTCCTGTCCCCGCAGCCCTGTGCACTCCTGCTCAGAGGCTTTGTGCTTGCTGTTTCCACTGCTGTTCCACACTCGCAGAGCCGCACGGCGCTGTCTCCACCTCCCTGAGGCCAGGCGAGGCTTGGCTGCCGCCCTCAGCAGGGCCCCCACCAGCGCTCCCTGCTCTCCCTGCCCATCTGCCGCACTAAATCACCATTCTGTGTGTTTGATGTGTTTGTTTTCTGTGGCATTGGTCTCTCCCCTGGCATGTCAGCTATGTGGGGACAGGGATTGTGTTTTTGTTCACTGTTGTACTCTCAGCATTAAAAACGGTGCCAGGCACAGAGCAAATGCTTGATCAGTGTTGGTTGAATTAAAGAACATCGGAAGAGGACTAACAGCTTAGGTACCAAAGTCCCAGCACTCAAGCAGAATTTTTGTTCGGATTTTCATGTTTTTCCTTTGTCTATTTTTACTTTTATTTTTATTTATTTATTTTTTTGAGATGGAGTCTCACTTTGTCACCCAGGCTGGAGTGCAGTGGCATGATCTCGGCTCACTGAAACCTCCACCTCCCGGGTTGAAGTGATTCTCCTGCCTCAGCCTCCCTAGTAGCTGGTATTACAGGTGCGTGCCACCACACCCAGCTAATTTTTGTATTTTTAGTAGAGATGGGGTTTCACCATGTTGGCCAGGCTGGTCTCAAACTCCTGGCTTCAAGTGACCCGCCTGCCTTGGCCTCCCAAAGTGCTGGGATTACAGGCGTGAGCCACCACACCCAGCCCCATTGTCTTTTTTTTAAGACACTGGTTCTCACTCTGTCACCTAGGCTGGAGTGCAGTGGTGTGATCAAGGCTTACTGCAGCCTCAACCTCTTGGGCTCAAGCAGTCCTCCCACTTTAGCCTCCCATGTTGCTGGGACCACAGGTGCATGCCACCAAGCCCCACTAATTAAAACAAATTTTTTTTTATAGAGAATAGGATGTAGCTATGTTGCCCAGGCTGGTCTTGAATTCCTGGGCTCAAGTGATCCTCCCACCTTGGCCTCCCAAAGTGCTGGGATTACAGGTATGAGCTACTGCACCTGGTCTCTGTCTTCTTTTTTTTTTTTTAAGGCTCTTGTTAGAATGCCGTGAACAGTTGTCTCCAACTATTATATGTCATTCCACGGGATTGGTTTCCTGCTGGCATTCCATGGTCTCCGGGGTCCTCTGCAGCACCTTCCTGGCCTTTTGTCATGTGGATGCTGCACAGCTGACTTCACCTGGTCTTGTTGATGGACAGTTTGTTTCATGATTTCTCTTATGAATAAAACCTTCACAAGCCATCCTTCTCTATGAGAGTGTTTGCTTGGCACGCATTCCTGAGCACTGCCCCTGAGCAGACCGCCTATGATCTCTAAGCTTGGGTTCCGTGTTGCCAAAGCGCCTTCTGGTGGACTCAGCCCAGGAGGAGCCCATGTGCCCCACGCTGGCCATGGCTGTGGTCATGGGCTGACTGCATGTGTCTGACTGGGCCTTCGTCTGAGACTGCAGTGATTTCGCTCCTCCTCTCAGATCCGCAAGGATGCTCTCCGGGCGCTCAACTTTGCGTACACGGTGAGCACACAGCGATCTACCATCTTTCCCCTGGATGGTGTGGTGCGCATGCTGCTGTTCAGAGACTGTGAAGAGGCCACCGACTTCCTCACCTGCCACGGCCTCACCGTTTCCGACGGGTAAGAGCTGAGAATGGAACTGTGGGGCCCCTGTCTCCTTTTTTCTTGTTAATTCTGATGAAGGGCTGTGAAGGGCTGGCTGCTTGCCTGACTTGAAGAAGGTGCATTCCCTCTGCCATGCAGGTGAACACACGAGACTCAGAATGGCTGGGGGTGTTCCCAAGGTCACATCCTGGCTGTCAGCACATTGAGGGCTCAGACCAAGTTCTTTGTGACTCCAAAATCAGTCCTTTTCATGACTTGCTGACAAACCTAAAGATAAAAGTTAGGGCCTTCTTTATTCTTTCCCTTGACTGCCTTTGCCAGCCAATGACGGACAACCTCTGACGGCTGGGATGGAGGCACCCGCAGGCCAGCCGGAGTCTTCTCCGGTACTTACCAGTCAGAGTGGTGAGACTCACAGACGCTCTCTCAGAAACTGGCAGCTTACACTCAACACCCGGTGCCTAGTTCCCCACCCTGTCTCCTCTAACTCCTCACCTGCCTCCTGCCTGTCTCCTCCTTCCAGTTCTGTCTCCTTCTAGTTCTGTCTCCTCCTTCCAGTTCTGTCCTCAGAAAATTAGACGGTTTTGGGTGAGCCAGCAAGGAGGCAGGAGTGAGTCAGCGTGCGTCTGTTAACACGCTGGGCTTAGTGGTTCTAGGGACCTACAGAGGCTCCAGGGTGGGCGGCAGTGGGACCTGGCGCCTGTGCTTTCTGTTATTTACACATGGCTGTGGTGACACCCAAGGGGCTTGCAGTACTCGGCAGGGCACTGAGGGCGAAGCTGTCTTCTCCCCTGGTGACACCCCTCGGGGGTCTTTTGTGGTCTGGGTAGCTGTGTGGAGCTGAACCGGTCTGCATTCCTGGAACCAGAGGGATTATCCAAGACCAGGAAGTCGGTGTTTATTACTAGGAAGCTGACGGTGTCAGTCGGGGAAATTGTGAACGGAGGGCCATTGCCCCCCGTCCCTCGTCATACCCCTGTGTGCAGCTTCAACTCCCAGAACAAGTACATCGGGGAGAGCCTGGCCGCGGAGCTGCCCGTCAGCACCCAGAGACCCGGCTCCGACACAGTGGGTGAGTGAAGCTGCAGTCGTAGTGAGGGGACTAGCTGCATTTTCCCACCAGAACGCCTCCCAGGAGCCTGGGCATCTGCATTTTCTCGCCAGGACGCCTCCCAGGAGCCTGAGCACCTGTCTTGTCTTGGGGCCCAGGGGTGTGGCTCTTCCTCATGCTCAGATGGTTCTCACTGGGAGTGGACTGAGGGCTTTGAAGCCCTCCTCCTGGCTCCCTGACATCCTGGGGCTTGTTTTTCATGCAAAGCGTATGTTGTCCCACGTAGCTGGTCTCCTGGAGGGCAGGCCAGTCCTCAGGGTCACTGTGGGTGGCCTGGGGCTGTCCCTGCACAGACCTCGGTCCCCGTGGTGCCAGGCACCCTGTGTCTGCAGCTATGTTTTGTCCTGTATGTTTCCTTCCAGGCGGAGGGAGAGGAGAGGAGTGTGGTGTAGAGCCGGATGCACCCCTGTCCAGTCTCCCACAGTCTCTACCAGCCCCTGCGCCCTCACCAGTGCCTCTGCCTCCTGTCCTGGCACTGACCCCGTCTGTGGCGCCCAGCCTCTTCCAGCTGTCTGTGCAGCCTGAACCACCGCCTCCAGAGCCCGTGCCCATGTACTCTGACGAGGTAGGGACTCTTTTTTTCTAGGTCTGGACTCTGGGAAGCCCATTGTGCGCAAACGTCCTTAGTCATCACCCCATGAGGTGGGGCTGTGGCGCCTGGTCTCTCAGGAGAGTCCAGAGAGGGGTCCTGCCTAGAGTCACTCAGCCTCAGGTAGGGCCCACCTATTCAGGCTCATTCTGGAGTCCGTCTTCATCTCAGGAGCTTCCTGTCACAGCACCGGCCTGAGCCCGTGTGTCTGAACTCAACACCCGTCTATTCCTGACGGGATCATTGGCAGCATTGTGCGCCCCCTGATGGGTGTGACCTGGGGTGGCGTGTCCGCCTGGTGGGTGTGGCCTGGGTGGGTGTGTCCCCTTGGGTGTGGCCTGGAGTGGGCATGTCCCCCTGATGGGACCCCAATATGCATGGACTGAGTGTGGGTGTGTCCCCTGAAGGGCATGTCCTGGGGTTGGGTGTCCCCACTGATGGGTGTGACCTGGGATGGGCGTGTCCCCTGGCGGGTGTGCCCCCTGATGGGCATGGCTGGGGTGGCTGTGCCCCCTGATAGGCGTGGCCTCGGGGTGGTCGTGTCCCCTCTGGTGTGTGTGGTCTCTGGCTGTGCACCCTGATGGGCATGGCCTGGGGGTGGGTGAGCCCCTTGACCAGCCTGGCCTGGGGGTGGATGTGCCCCTTGATGGTTGTGGCCTCAGGGTGGGCATGGTCCCGACAGGTGCCTTGATATTGAGTAGAGCCTGTCGACTCCATGGTTGTGAGACTGGATTGTGCCACTCTGGCTGCTTCGGGGCAGGCACTGGGCACCAGCCCATCTGGGGATCAGGGAGTGCTTAGGGGGAGCATAGAGTGGTCACAGAAACAGAGGCTGCTTGACGTAGACTGGAGATGGCTAGGCCAGGGCGCTGTGTGGCCATCCGCAGGGCGCCTTCCTCTCCAGATGGCACCTTTCCATTCGCTAGGGGACACCTTTCCTGCAACAGCCTAGCCGACCCCGTGTCAGGGGTTGTGCTTCTGTCACGAGACGCCTGCAGACTGTCCGGTGACAACATGTTACCCAGCATTTCTGCCCTGGGTGGGACGTTCCATTACACCCCATGCTGGTCTCTCCACAGGACCTGGCGCAGGTGGTGGACGAGCTCATCCAGGAGGCCCTGCAGAGGGACTGTGAGGAAGTTGGCTCTGCGGGTGCTGCCTACGCAGCTGCCGCCCTGGGGTGAGTGGCATCTCGTGCTCCCCTCCTGCTACGTGCTGCGGGGAGCTGCACCCAGTCCTCCAGAAGTTTCCTCTCATAAAGTTGCCTGCGTTTTTGGAGTCATAATCCAATAAGTTATTGCCAGATACAGTGTCAGGAAGATTTTCCCCTACATTCTTCTTTTTCAAGATGGTTTTGCTATTTGGGGTCTCCTGAGATACCATGCGAATTTTAGGATGAGTTTTTCTGTTTCTGCAGAAAGTGCTGTTGGGATTTTGATAGGGATTGCGTTGAATCTGTAGATTGTTCTGGGTGGTACTGTCATCTTTTTTTTTTTTTTTTTTTTTTTTTTTTTTTGAGATGGAGTCTTGCTCTGTTGCTCAGGCTGGAGTGCAGTGGCTCCATCTCAGCCTCACTGTAACCTCCACCTCCTGGGTTCAAGCAATTCTTCTGCCTCAGCTTCCCGAGTAGCTGAGATTACAGGTGGGCACCAGCCTGGCTAATTTTTTTATTTTTTGTGGAGATGCTTTTCGCCATGTTGTCCAGGGATGGTCTCGAACTCCTGGCCTCAAGTGATCCACCTGCCTCAGCCTCCTAAAGTACTGGGATTACAGGCATGAGCCACTGCACCTGGCCAGTATTGTCATCTTAACAATATTAAATCTTCTAATCTGAGAATGTGGGATGTCTTTCCATTTATTTAGGTCATTCTTAATTTCTTTCGACAATGCTTTGTAGTTTTCAACGTATAAAGTTTTTGCCTCCTAGGTTAAATTGTTTTTTTGTTTGTTTGTTTTGTTTTGTTTTTGAGACGGAGTCTCGCTCTGTCGCCCAGGCTGGAGTGCAGTGGCACAATCTTGGCTCACTGCAACCCCCACCTCCCGGATTCAAGCGATTCCCCTGCCTCAGCCTCCCGAGTAGCTGGGATTACAGGCACCTGTCACCAAGCCTGGCTAATTTTTTGTATTTTTAGTAGAGACAGGGTTTCACCATTATTAGCCAGGATGGTCTCGATCTCCTGACCTCGTGATCCGCCCGCCTTGGCCTCCTAAACTGCTGGGATTACAGGTGTGAGCCACCGCACCTGGCCTTGTTGAGGATTTTTATATCCATATTCATGAGGGATATTGGTCTGTAGTTTTCCATTTCTTTTTTTTTTTTTTTTTTTTTTTGAGACGGAGTCTCCCTGTCGCCCAGGCTGGAGTGCAGTGGCGTGATCTCGGCTCACTGCAGGCTCCGCCCCCCGGGGTTCACGCCATTCTCCTGCCTCAGCCTCCCGAGTAGCTGGGACTACAGGTGCCCGCTACCTCGCCCGGCTAATTTTTTGTATTTTTAGTAGAGACAGGGTTTCACTGTGTTAGCCAGGATGGTCTCAATCTCCTGACCTCCTGATCCACCCGCCTCGGCCTCCCAAAGTGCTGGGATTACAGGCGTGAGCCACCGCGCCCGGCCTCCTTTTTATTTCTTTATTCCTTTTTTTTTTCTTTTTTGAGACAGGGTCTTACTTTGTCACCTAGACCCGAGTGCAGAAGCACAATCACAGCTAACCACAGCCTTGATCTTCTAGGCTCAAGCCATCCTCTCACCTCAGCCTCCCAAGTAGCTAGGACCACAGGCGCATGCTACCATACCCGGCTAATTTTTTAATTTTTTGTAGAGATGGGGTCTCTCTATGTTGCCCAGGTTAGTCTTGAACTCCTGGGCTCAAGCAGTGCTCCCACCTCAGCCTCCTGAAATGCTGGGATGACAGGCATGAGCCACTGTGCCTGCTCAGTCTGTAGTTTTCCTATAGTGTCTTTGGTCTGTCTTTGGTATTAGAGCAATGCTAGCCTCATAAAATGAGTTAGTAAATATTCCCTCCTCTTCAGTTTTTTGAAAGGATTTGAAAAAGATTGGTGGTTAGTTTTTCGTTAGTGTTTAATAGAATTTACCAGTGAAACCTTCTGGTCTCATACCTTTCTTTGTTTGGAAGTCTCCTTACTAGTTATAGGTCTACTCACATTTTTCTGTTTCTTCATGAGTCAGTTTTGGTAGATGGTGTGTTTCTAACAGTGGGCTTAATTTTTCTGCTGGCAGCCAAACAAGTACAGGTTGCATATCCCTTCTTCAAAACGCTTGGAACCACAAGGGTTTTAGATGACAGATATTTTTGGATTTTGGAATATTTGTATTATATGTACCAGTTGAGTATCTCTTACCTAAAAATCTGAAAATCTGAATTCTAAAATGCTCCAATGAGCATTTCCTTTGAAAAGCATGACATGTTGTGCTCAAAAAGTTTGAGATTTTGGAGCATTTTGGATTTCAGATTTTTGGATTAGGGACACTCAACCTGTGTGTTTTTTTTCCCTTGTCAATGACTTGGCTTTTTTCTGATATTTTTCTTTCTTTTTTTTTTTTTTTTTGAGACAGAGTCTCGCTGTGTCGCCCAGGCTGGAGTACAGTGACGCAATCTTGGCTCACTGCAGTCTCCCGCTCCCAGGTCCGAGCAATTCTTCTGCCTCAGCCTCCTGAGTAGCTGGGGCTACAGGCGTGTGCTGCCGCGCCTGGCTAATTTTTGTATTTTTAGTAGAGATGGGGTTTCACTGTGTTGGCCAGAATGGTCTTGATCTTCTGACCTTGTGATCCGCCCACCTCAGCCTCCCAAAGTGCTGGGATTACAGGCGTGAGCCACCGCACCCGGCCTTGACTCTGATTTTGAATGCTATCCCCTTTGCTCCGTTTAGTGTTTCTAATGCTGCTATGGAGGATTTGTTAACAGCTGCAACCACGGGCATTTTGAGGCACATTGCAGCTGAAGAAGTGTCTAAGGAAAGAGAGCGAAGGGAGCAGGAGAGGCAGCGGGCTGAAGAGGAAAGGTAAGTGTGTCTTGTCCATGCAGCCGAATAAGGAGCTCAGTGTGGACACAGGCAAGAACTGACCCTAGCCACGATGCTCCTGCTATTGTCCACTGTGCTACCATTCCACCCCTGCTGACCCACTCATGCCCTCCTATGCTTCAGCCCAGGGGGTGGATGGAGCTCCTCAGGCCACACCTACCCGTGAGCAGTGGCCCTTCCCAGCCAGGAAAGGCAGGGGAAGGGAGGTGGTGTCAGGGGAGCTGGAGTAGGGGTGGCCTACCGACTCAGGCAGCACACCTCAATCCCTGTCTGCGTGGCCAGGGAGTAAAACAAACAGCACTTATTTTTATTCTTAAACATTACCCTTGTGTATTTTTTCTCTTCCCTGTAGGTTGAAACAAGAGAGAGAGCTGGTGTTAAGTGAGCTGAGCCAGGGCCTGGCCGTGGAGCTGATGGAACGCGTGATGATGGAGTTTGTGAGGGAAACCTGCTCCCAGGAGTTGAAGTAAGTGAAACGCTGGTGTCTTGCTGTGCCAGGAGAGTGAGCTTTGGCTCTGCCCTAGGCTGTGTCTTGCACCACTGAGGATGGGCTATTGGAAATGGATCTTGCCTGTCTAAGCTACTTTGATTTTGTGACCAAATGTATTTGATGCAGTCCTCTGTGCTCCCTTGGCTAATAGAATTTTATTATAAAAAATTCTCTTTTATATGAGGGCTGCCACCACATGATCATAGTCAGCCATCCTTATTAGCCACTGGCATTTATCATATATTTGAGACACTTCCAATTGATTGCACAAGTCAGATGTTGCTGATGAGAAGATTTTGTGGTTGTCTGCATGGTAATTTACAAATTCTACGCCAGGCACCTGTAGTCCCAGCAACTCAAGAGACTGAGGTGCAAAGATCACTTAAGCTCAGAAGTTCCAGGTAGTGTGCTATGACTGCACCTGTGGTGGCCACTGTACTCCAGCCTGGGCAACATAGTGAGACCCTGTCTCTAAAATAATTAAAAATTCTGACTATTTTATTAAGATAAAGGTTTATTTCTTAACTGTTACGAGGGCCCCTATGGACCTATAATTTGGCACCCTGTTCCACTTAATTCTTTTTACCCTGTCTTTCTAGGTGTCTGTAGTTTAAGTATTAAAGCTTCTTTTACAATGAAGATAGAATTACATTTTAATACTGAGGATGCAGACTCTTGCACTTTTTTTTTTTAAAGACGGAGTCTTGCTCTGTCGCCCACACTGGAGTGCAGTGGCGTGATCTGGGTTCACTGCAACCTCTGCCTCCTGGGTTCAAGCGATTCTCCTAGCTCAGCCTCCCAAGTAGCTGGAATTACAGGCATGCACCGCCATGCCCAGCTAATTTTTTTTTTTTTTTTTTTTTTGAAATGGAGTTTTACTCTGTTACCCAAGCTGGAGTGCAGTGGTGCCATCTCGGCTCACTGCAAGCTCCGCCTCCCGGGTTCACGCCATTCTCAGCCTCCTGAGTAGCTGGGACTACAGGAGCCTGCCAATATGCCTGGCTAATTTTTCATATTTTTAGTAGAGACGGGGTTTCACCGTGTTAGCCAGGATAGTCTCGATCTCCTGACCTCGTGATCCGCCTGCCCTGGCCTCCCAAAGTGCTGGGATTACAGGCATGAGCCACCGTGCCTGGCCGCCAGCTAATTTTTTGTATTTTTAGTAGAGACGGGGTTCTACCATGATGGCCAAGCTGGTTTCGAACTCCTGACCTGAAGTGATTTGCCTGCTTTGGCCTCGCAAAGAGCTAGGATTACAGGTGTAAGCCACTGTGCCTGGCCGACTCTTGCACTTTTCTTTTTTTTTTTTTTTTGAGACGGAGTCTCGCTCTGTCGTCCAGGCTGGAGTGCAGTGGCGCGATCTCTGCTCACTGCAAGCTCTGCCTCCCGGCTTCACGTCATTCTCCTGCTTCAGCCTCCCGAGTAGCTGGGACTACAGGCGCCCGCCACCACACCAGGCTAATTTTTTTGTATTTTTAGTAGAGACAGGGTTTCACCATGTTAGCCAGGATGGTCTGGATCTCTTGACCTCATGATCCACCCGCTTCGGCCTTCCAAAGTGCTGGGATTACAGGCGTGAGCCACCGCGCCTGACTGACTCTTGCACTTTTCAAGCAAGCCCTCAGTGTCTGTGGGCCCCAAGTGCAGTGTCTTCCATGCTGATTGCCCTGTTTCTAGGAATGCAGTAGAGACAGACCAGAGGGTCCGTGTGGCCCGTTGCTGTGAGGATGTCTGTGCCCACTTAGTGGACTTGTTTCTCGTGGAGGAAATCTTCCAGACTGCAAAGGAGACCCTCCAGGAGCTTCAGTGCTTCTGCAAGTATCTACAGCGGTGAGTCCTGTGTTCCTACAGGCAAAATCCACACACACGGGGAAGAGTCTTTTAACAAATTCAAAATATATGAGCTATTAGTTTCTGTATTCAGTGGTAAAAGGATGAGGGAAAATGTTATAGCAATGAATACCTAAAATAGACTAATTGGATTATACTGCATTTCAGAAATACTTGATTACACACACACACACACACACATACAATATAAGGGGAAAAGTCAGGAGTTAGATTGGGACGTGGTGGCTACTCTGTATGTCAACTGATATTTATAGGGTGCCTGCCATTTGCCCACTGCACTAGGTGCTGGGAGACAGCTATGAACAAGCCAGATTATGGCTGCATGCACCAATAAGGGTGAATTCTCAAAATATAAGTAGTGGAGAAAAAGCAATTAATAGGGAATATACAAATAGTGTATATTCAAACTAAATAGGTTGTTTCAGATTTATATATAGTGGTATAACCCTAAAGAAAAGAAGGAAAATAATGATCATAATCTCAGCATAGTGGTTACTTTTGGGAATGGGAGGTGGTGCCTCTCATGGCCACAACTTCTCAACTGGGTGTAAGTGCACAGGTGCTTGATGATTTATTAATCTTATAACTGGGCATATATGTGTTACGTATGTTGTATGATTCATTTCATAATAAAATTTAAAATCAGTAATAGTGTCCTTGGTAGTTGGAACAGTATAAAAGGGAGTATGGGGAGAAGTGAGTCTTCCTTCTACAACAGACCCCTGTCCATTGTGCGAGCAGCAGCTGCTTGCGAAACCATCCAGAGACTTTCTGTCCTTTCTTGTGGCTCTTGGCACAGATGGGCTCATGATCCCTGCTTTGCTCTGAGCCTTCCTTTGCTCCATCTGATATGAGGTGGAGGCTTGGCTGTAGCAGCATGCTGAGCTGTCCCCGTTGCCAGTGGTCTTGAGGTCAGTGCGATAATGTACCATAAATGACCTTCCTGGTCTTCTGTTGATGGACTTTCATGTGGCTCTTTTTTTTTTTTTTTTTGAGATGGAGTCTCACTCTGTCGCCCAGGCTGGAGTGCAGTGGCGCAATCACAGCTCACTGCAACCTCCACCTCCCAGGTTCAAGTGATTCTTCTGCCTCAGCCTCCTGAGTAGCTGGGACTACAGGCGTGCGCCACCATGCTCGGCTAATTTTGTTTTTTTTATTTTTAGTAGAGATGGGGTTTCACCATATTGGCCAGGCTGCTCTCGAACTCCTGACCTCGTGATCCGCCCGCCTCGGCCTCCCAAAGTGCTGGGATTACAGGCGTGAGCCACCGAGCCTGGACGTAGCTCTTTTTAGCTCTGGTAAAGACTGTTGCAGTGACTGTTGTTGTACAGACAGACATCTCACCCGTTTGCACACAGGCACGTGTGTGGAGATAAATTCCTATCAGTGGTGGCTGTGGGTCAAGGGATATATGTATCTTTTTTTTTTTTTTTTTTTTTTTTTGAGACGGAGCCTTGCTGGTACACACAGCCTGGAGTGCAGTGGTGTGATCTCGGCTCACTGCAACCTCCACCTCCTGGGTTCAAGGGATTCTCCTGCCTCAGCCTCCCAAGTAGCTGGGACCACAGTCGCCCACCACCATGCCCGGCTAATTTTTTGTATTTTAGTAGAGATTGGGTTTCACTGTGTTGCGCAGGCTGGTCTTGAACTCTTGAGCTCAGGCAGTCCGCCCGCCTTGGCCTCCCAAAGTGCTGGGATTACAGGCGTGAGCCACTGCACCCAGCTGGGTATATGTATCTTAAATCTGTATCCATATTGCCAAGTCAGCCTCCAAAGCTCATTCAGTATTAACTGTTAACGTTCGGTAGTTTCATTGCTCACCACACTCATTTGATGTCCTTCCTTCCCCATGCCTGAGTTCTGACTGCAATGTGTTTCTCAGTTTGAAGACCCTGAAAACACTCTGTGATGATACATTTTCATGTCCCCAGGTGGAGGGAAGCTGTCACAGCCCGCAAGAAACTGAGGCGCCAAATGCGGGCTTTCCCTGCTGCGCCCTGCTGCGTGGACGTGAGCGACCGGCTGAGGGCGCTGGCGCCCAGCGCAGAGTGCCCCATTGCTGAAGAGAACCTGGCCAGGGGCCTCCTGGACCTGGGCCATGCAGGGAGATTGGGCATCTCCTGCACCAGGTCAGCATCAGCTGTCGCCTGCCTCGTCAGGGCTCCCCTGCCCCCACTTGGTTTTACCAGGAGCGGAATTAATGTGTGTGTTTGGAGGGTGAAGATAGGTGAAGCCTGGAGGCGAAGATAGGTGAAGCCTGGAGGCGAGGACAGGCACAGGGTTGCATTTTGAAGGTTGTCTCCCACAGTTGTGGACATGTGACTTGTTCCACTGGCAAAGCAGAGCTCTGAGTTCACCTTGAAAGACTCAGCGTCCTGGTGCCTGAGTCTGACTCTGCATCACGTGTTCTTTTCCTGCTCGTCCCAGTTTAAGTACCTGCCACTTCCATCCTTGTTGGAGGAGCCGGAGGTCCACGCTGGCCTGTGTCTTCCGATCCCATCCCCGCCCCATCCCTCTGTTCCTCCCGCCGTCTCCTTCACACACTGCCCCCTTTCTGTGGCAGCATCTTCCAGACTCCACCTCCACCCTCCATTATTTCCCTCTTGAGGCCCCTTGGTGTGGCCCTGGTCCTCCCTGCCACTCCTCCTGGTTACCCCGAGCAGAACCGGCTCCTCAGGGCCATGCCAGGACCCCCCTCAGCCTGCATTCCTGGCCATGCTGGGCTTGGCCTTTATTTAGAACCCATGTAGGTGCCACCTCTTGCCTGGCCTCAGGGCTCCCTGGCCTCCCAGTGGGTGGGGACTGGGGAGGCAGCCTGGAGGGCCTAGCAGGCACACCGCTGGGGCCTCATGTCATGTCTTGTCCTCCTCCTGGTCATCACTGGATGTTCCCTCTGAAAACTGTCTTGTGGGTTTCATTTAGCCCCATCAGGTTCTGCGCCGGCAGTGGGGTGGCAGTCCCAGCCTGTTGGAGGCATGCTGTGAGGCCAGGGCTGGGCCTGGCTCCTCTGACCCATGGCTGCCTTCACATAGTGACCTGGCCTTCTCCTGGAGTCATGGCTTCTTGTGTCCCCCCTCCGTAGCTGCCCTTGTCAGCCTCAGTCTCCTTGTCTGAGCCCTCCACCCTGCCCCCTCAGCCCAGACCTCTGCCCTCTGCCCTTCTGCGCACCCCCTGGTGATAGCCCTGTCACCCCTGTCTGTCACTGACAGCCCCCATCATGCATCTCCAACTGAGGCCTCTTCCCTGAGTTCCAGACTTGGTTTCCAGTTGGCAGTTCAACCTCTAAACCTGATTTTTCCCCACCCTGCCCCTTCCTGCTCATAGGATGCCGTCCTGTCCTCCTGCGCTTAGGGCACAAACCTGGGCTTGCATCTCTCTCAGACCCAGCACCGAGGGCATGGCAGTTCTCTCCACCTCACTGGAATGTTGCTGCAGCACCTGTCTGCCAGCTTCCACCCTGGGCCCCAATCGTGTCCTCAGCACCACAACAGAGGGATCCTCCAACAGCTCAGCCAGGTGGCGTTGCCTCTCGGCGGCGTCCCTAGCGCTCCCCGAGTCTCTGCATTGTGGACCCAACCCCTCCCTCGCTGCCCTCACTGCTCTCCCCAAACACACCAGGTCCAGCTATGGCCTGGCATAGCCATGCCCTCTGCTGTTTCCAGAAGTTGTCACGCTGGCTCCCCCTGTTTCCTTCAGGTCTTTGCTCACATATCACCTGACCACCCTGAGTGAGACTGCAACACGCACCCTGCCTGGCTCCAGCCCCACCTGGCAGCATTTGCCCACAGTGCCGACACCTCACACATGCCAGGCCAGCCACTTAGAGATGCTGTTCTCTCCCCATTAGAGCCTATGTTCTCAAAGGGCAGGATTTTGTCTGTTTATTGCTGAATCTCCCATAGCCAGCACACAGTGGATACTTAACATGATATTTGTGGAATGAAGGAATCCTCTAACCCGTTTCATTGGCAGAAAATGTGTTTTTCAGTCTCCTGAGTATTCCCCAGGGGACACTAGCCAGTACTTCTCACTAAGCTCCTGCGGGGACACTGTCATTCTGCTTTCCTTTGCAGGTTAAGGCGGCTCAGAAACAAGACAGCTCACCAGATGAAGGTTCAGCACTTCTACCAGCAGCTGCTGAGGTCTGTCATGCTGCACCCTTCTGCGCACCCCCTGGTGATCCCCGTTCCCCAATCTGTCACACTGGCAGCCCCCTTCATGCATCTCCAACTGAGGTCTCTTCGATGAGCTCCAGACTTGGTTTCTAGTTTGCAGTTCAATCTCTGAACCTGATTTTCCTCCAACCTGCCCCTTCCTGCTCATAGGATGTGTGTGCTGCTCCTGCAAGGGTCTCACACACTGGCTAATCCACGGTGGTCTGTTCCTCCCAGTGATGTGGCATGGGCGTCTCTGGACCTGCCATCCCTCGTGGCTGAGCACCTCCCTGGGAGGCAGGAGCATGTGTTTTGGAAGCTGGTGCTGGTGTTGCCGGATGTAGAGGAGCAGTCCCCAGAGAGTTGTGGCAGGTCAGGAAGGGTTTTCCCCTGTGGGGTTTCCAAGAGGTGGAGTGGGCAGGGCAGGGTTGTGGGCCAGGGCCGGGTATTCCTCTTATGTGTGATGGGAACTCGGAAGTGTAGGTTTATGTTTTAATGCTTGGATTTACAGTCTGTTTTGCTCATGATTTTAAGTTGAAACTTTAGATTTGATTATTTCAATTTTTATTCCATAAACTTGGTGTATTAGTCCGTTCTCACACTGCTTTAAAGAAATATCTGAGACTGGGTACTTTATAAAGAGGTTTAATTGGCTCGGCTGTACAGGAAGCATGGCTGGGGAGGCCTCAGGAAACCCACAATCATGGTGGAAGGCTAAGGGGAGGGAGGCATGTCTTACATGGCCAAAGCAGGAGGAAGAGAGAGAGAAGGGGGAGATGCCACATGCTTAACCAGATCTCGTGAGAGCTCACTATCATGAGAACAGCAAAGTGGGAGGTGCCACACACTTCTAAACAACCAGATCTCGTGACAGCTCACTGTAATGAGAACAGCAAGGGGGAGGTGCTGCACACTTAACCAGGTCTCGCGAGGCTCACTTTCATGAGAACAGCAAGGGGGAGTTTCCACACACTTAACCAGATCTCCTGAGAGCTCACTATCATGAGAACAGCGAGGGTGAGTTGCCACACACTTAACCAGATCTTGTTGAGAGCTCACTATCATGAGAACAGTGAGGGGGAGTTGTCACACAACCACATCTCGTGAGAGCTCACTATCATGACAACAGCGAAGGGGAGTTGTCACACACTTAACCAGATCTCGTGAGAGCTCACTATCATGAGAACAGTGAGGGGGAGTTGTCACACACTTAACCAGATCTCGTGAGAGCTCACTATCATGAGAACAGCCAGGGGGATTCCACCCCCATGATACAATCACTTCCCACCAGGCCCCTCCTCCAACATTGGGGATTACAGTTCAACATGAGATTTGGGTAGGGACACAAATCCAAACCATATTACTTGGCAACAGTCTTAGACCAAAAGCATTTAAGAGTTGATTGTTATTTCAAGCTGTGTTAAGGTACATTGATAGACCTGCTTCATTTTAGACTCTTCAGTAAGATAGTTTATAGTCTGTTTACTATAGTTCCATTTTTTTCCCCTTAAAGAAACTTTTGGCATTTTAAAAAAGAAAAAATTGACATGATCTTATTTTCTGTAACCACATAGCATACAGAAGTCATATTTTTAAAGCAACTACAGTCTCTGTGTTTTTTTGAGACAGGGTCTTGCTTTGTTGTCACCCAGGCTAGAGGGCAGTGGTGTGATAACAGCTCACCGCAGCCTTGACCTCCTGGGCTCAACTGATCTTCTCACCTCAGCCTCCTGAGTAGCTGGAACTACAGGCGTGTGCCACCATGCCTGGTTAATGTTTTTTTTTTAAAGATGGGGTTTCACTATGTTGCCCAAGCTGGTCTTGAACTCCTGGGCTCAAGCAATCTGCATGCTTCAGTCTACCAAAGTTTTGGGATTACAGGCGTGAGCCACCACACCCGGCTTACAGTTTATTTTTAAAATAGCTTTATTGAAATGTTATTCACATACCATAAACTTCACCCATTTAAAGTGTACATTTCAGTGATTTTTAGATATATTCACAGGGTTTTGCAACCATCACTGTTAATAATTCCAGAACACCTTTTCACTTAGAAAGCCTGTATTCTTTTTTTTTTTTTTAGATGGAGTCTCACTCTGTCGCCCAGGCTGGCGTGTGGTACACTTTGTTCACTGCAACCTCCACCTCTCAGGTTCAAGCAATTTTCCTGCCTCAGCCTCCCAAGTAGCTGGGATTACAGGCGCACACCACCACGCCCAGCTTAGTTTTGTATATATTTTGTAGAGACAGGGTTTTGTGATGTTGCCCAGGCTGGTCTCAAACTGGGCTCAAGCGATCCACCTGCCTTGGCCTCCCAAGGTGCTGGGATTACAGGCGTGAGCCACTACGCCCAGCTGGTGAGTCATTTCTTAAAATAGCTGTCTTCTCATTTGCTAAGTTCGTATGTCACTTAAGAATTCTTAAGGTCTCAGGTATGAGAAATTTGATCTGTAAAAAACATGTATTTCAAACTCTAGGGATGTTTTCTATTGCTGAAAATCTTAATGCTTCAGAATTTTAAGTCACATTAGAATGAGCCAGTTCCATTCTAATGGAATGGAGTGCCCCCTCCTCCTGCCCAATTAAGAACAAGTAGAAGCCGGGAGCAGTGGCTCATGCCTGTAATCCCAGCAACTGGGGAGGCTGTGGAGGGAGGATTGCTTGAGCCCAGGAGTTTGAGGCCAGCATGAGCAACATAGTGAGACCCTTTGAGTGACACTCTACAAAAAAAATGGAAAGATTAGCTGGGCATGGTGGCCCGTGCCTGTAGTCTCAGCTACTGAGGCAGGTTTGCTTGCTGCGGTGAGCCAAGTTTGTGCCATTGCACTCTAGCTTGGGCGACAGAGCGAGACCCTGGCTCAAAAAAAAAAAAAAAAAAAAAAGAACGAGTACAGATCGTTGCTCCATTTTAAAACAACAGCCTGTTTTGTGCAGATCAGCTTCATAGTAAGATGTGGTATTTGTGGACCTAGGTCTGTGTGATATTTTTCTTTCTTCTTTTCCTGAAAGTCTTTATAATTCAAATATAGAATTAGATTCTTCAAGTGTTTTTTTTGTTTTTTGTTTTTTTTAAATCTGTAGAATTCTAGCAAATTGGTTAAAAGTCAAGTTCATGGGAGATGAAGGCTCAGTGGATGACACATCCAGCGATGCTGGTGGGATTCAGACGCTTTCGCTTTTCAACTCACTTAGCAGCAAAGGGGATCAGATGATTTCTGTTAACGTGTGTATAAAGGTGAACTATAATTACTTTGTGTTTACTTCTGTGTTTTCATTACTTTCACTTACTCCCAGATATCACTGGAACCATGCAAATACTGCTTATTCCCTAATGTGGTTTTGAAAGACTGGGAGGCTCAGAAGCAAGTATTATGTCTGTCCGTACATGTCGTTTAAAAAATTTTTTTAAGCCAGTCAAATTGAGTAGTGGGCACCAAGCCCAGCCTGCTTCTTTACTTTTTCTGTTTTAATACTATATATTGGATTTCCTAAATGTAATATGTACACAAAACTTTTAAAAAATGAGGAAATGTAAAAGAAGTATAAAGATGATGATAAGAGCCATCCATGCTCTTGCCATTCTGAGGTAACAGTAACTTCTTGGTGCAAATTCTTCCCTTTTCCTGGGATTACAAAGTCACATTTCATCTACTGGAAATTAGTTTACTGCTGCTGTTACCTTCATTTTCATTTAAGAAAGTAACACTTCCGTGTACTTAAAAAGAAGTCAAATAATGCCACCCACGTGATTTAAAATGAGACATAGTAGCTCCTCCTTCCTCTCTTAACTCCTTTCTTCAGGGCTGCATTTTTCTCCTGTTTCCAGATCACACACTTACACAGCCATTTCTCAGTTTATCCATTTAAATGTTCTCTGCTGACTTCCCATTAATATAAATGTATTAGTTACCTTATTCCTAAATAACTAATTACTCCTAACATAGCAGCTTAAAATAATGTCTGTTATCATGGTATCTGTGGGTCAGGAATCCAGGTGTAGCTTAGCTTGGGTCTTCTGGCTCAAGGTTTCTCATGGGTGGAAATGAAAATGTTGGCTAGGATTGTGGCCTCATCTGAAAGCTTGACTGAAGGGTATCTACTTCCCAGCTCACTCTAGTGAGCTTGTGTCAGGATTCACTTCCTTGCAGGCTGTGGCCAAAGACTTCCTCAGTTCCTGCCACATGGGCCTCTCCCCAGCTGACAGCATGGCAGCTGGCTTTCATCAGAGTGAGCAAGAGGTGAGCCTAGATGGAAGTCTGAGTGTGTTTATAACCTAAACTTAGAAGTGACATCCTGTTGCTTTTGTTGGCTTCTGTCTGTCAGAAGTGAGTGGCTAGGCCCAGCTCACGGGGCAGGAGATCACACGTGGGCATGAACACTAGGTGGAATCAGGGGGGTCCTCTTGGCCACTGCATACCATACTAGGTACAGCGTGGCCTCTTGTGCCATGGTCCTTGCTCGGCCTTCCACGTCTTCCCGGGATAGCTACACTAGCACTTTGTATTACTTCAGTGAGTGGGGTCATATTTTGATGGCTCTGTGACTGCTATTCACCTCAGAACCAGTAGTGTTCTATAACCACAATTATTTTTTTCCTGCAAGAAATAGAGTTGCCTTATTGTCTCACTTAATGTAGTTCTCTTTATCTCTTTAATTTTACTGGGGGGCCGTATATATCTCGGTAGAGTTTTCCAAATGTTCTGTCACTTCACTTGATCCATCCATGTTCCCTCTGTCCTGGAACTCTCATCTGTGGGCTGGTCTCCATCCAGGCAACATGTGCCTTAGTGCCATCATTGTGAGCATATGTGTCCCTGCTCCTCCACTTGGAAGCTCTGTGACCTTGGGCAAGTTCCCTAGCGTCTCTGCCACCTGTGTATGGGTACTGTTACTTATTATCCCTATTTTACTCAGAGACGGTAAAATAAACTGCCCAAGCCTCTGCAGGTGCTGTCTGGTGGAGATGCTCATCTGGCTCTTGAGGATAAAATGAGTGCAAACACAGACTGCACAGGACAGTGCCTGGCACAGGCCAGGTGCTTGCTCAGTGTTGCCATTAGCAGCAGCTGCAGTATTTTTTCTTGGTTCAGCCCCTTGTTGGATGTTATATGTCATGCGAGGGGAATTTTCTGAGTCTTTTCCATTATGAAAATGATTTTATTAACAAAATACCTTAAGCTGGGGGAAAGAAAAAGAAAATGCATTTATTTCATTCTGACATTTGCTTCATAGTTTAGCTACGTTTGTAAAATTATAGGTAGAAAATTATTTTCCTGGCCGCGCATAGTGGCTTATGCCTGTAATCCCAGCACTTTGGGAGGCCGAAGTGAGCGGATTGTTTTGAGTGCAGGAGTTCGAGACCAGCCTGGGCAACGCGGTGAAACCCTGTCTCTATAAAAAATACAAAAATTAG
This sequence comes from Homo sapiens, assembly GCF_000001405.40. Classification (NCBI taxonomy): domain Eukaryota; kingdom Metazoa; phylum Chordata; class Mammalia; order Primates; family Hominidae; genus Homo; species Homo sapiens. Next base: position 46,249,350 of record NC_000021.9, on the reverse strand, counting down.
CTGGGCATGGTGGTGTGTGCCTGTAGTTCTAGTAGCTTGGGAAGCTGAGGTGGGAAGATTGCTTGAACCTGGGAGTTCGAGGCTGCAGTGAGCCGTGATCGCACCACTGCACTCCGGTGTTGACAGAGGAAGACCCCGTCTCAAAAGAAAGAAAATTATTTGCCTTCCAGTTTTGCTCCACTGTCACCTAGCATCCATTGTTGCTGTACCATTCCTGTTCCTTTCTGTGTGGCCTGGTTTTCTCTGTGGAAGCCTTTTCTCTCTGTTCATGGCGTCCTAAAAATTCACTTTGTTACACTGGCACTGGACTAGCTTCACTCACTGTGCAGGGCTTAGCAGGTCCTTTCAGGCTAGAGACTCCTATTTCACTTCTGGGACATTTTCATGTCTTTATGACACTCTGTCTTTTTTCTGTTCTCTCTTGAACTTCTATTAGATAGATGTTAGGCCTCATCAATTGATCCTCTGAGTTTCTTATCCTATTTTCTATCCTATTTTCAATCTCATCTCTTCCTACTGTGTTCTGAAAGAGTTCCTTGACTTTATTTTCCAATTGTCCTACTGAATTTTTTATTCCATATATATTACTTATTTCCTCTTTCTTTTTATCATGACTTTTTCATAGCATCTTATTTTTTGGATGCATCATCTTATCTTTCCAAGGAAATTAGGGTTTTTGGGGTCTAAGTTTTCTTTGGTTCACGTATTATCTGGTTCCTCTTTTTTTTTTTTTTCCTCTCTGTTACTCCAGTTTATCTCTTTTATGTTGGAGGCCCTCCTCAGATGCCTTACCCAAGGCTATCTGTCTATATCTGAGTGAGGCCCTAAAAGGCTAGCCAAGAAGTTCTGTGTTTGGGGTGGGGTGGATGGTAGCTAAATGGCAAGCCAGGCTTTTTGGAGGGACTCCCAAATGTCTGGATCTGGATGGCTGTTCCCTAGACTGTTCAGTTTTTCTGGAAAGGACTTGTGCCATCTGCTTTCTGGGGAGCTGCTGGTATTCTCAGGGTAGGGTTGGGAGTGGTTTGGCGCTGAGTCCCTTCCACTGTGCCTGACCATGGCCCTGCATCTGGATCCTCTCAGGACTCCTGTTCAGGGGCCCAGGGGGACTGGTTTTGCATAGAGGTTGCCTGCAGTGGTGGGTGCCGCCAATAGGGTCAGGCTCTGAACTTCACCTTTGGCTCCTGGTGTCTGCAGCGCCTGGGTATACAGGGCTTTTGCAGGCTCAGTCAACCTGACTCCTTACACACCCACATCTGCAGCCTTTAGGTATGGCATCCTCTGCTTCCCTAACCCAGGGATTGGTCACACCTATTTGCTGCTTTCTAGAAATGTATCAGAATCCCTCATCTGCTGCTGGCTTGCCTTCCCTCTTTCTATTATTATGGGCTTATATTTTTGTTTATTTTTGTAGAGATGGGGTCTTGCTATGTTGCCCAGGCTGGTCTTGAATTCCTGGCTCCTGGCCTCAAACAGTTCTCCTGCCTTGGCCTCCCCAAGTGCTGGGATTACAGTCATGAGCCACTGTGCCTAGCTTTAACTTTTTTATACCTGTTTAAGGTTAATTAAAGTTATAGTAATATGGTCAAACACAATTCTAGCTGGAGGCTAAATTACCTGTTGACCTGGCTGTTTCTTGCACTAATTCTGTTGCATTTATTCTCATTTTTGTTTCTATAAATTTAAAATATGAACATGGGTGGGCGCGGTGGCTCACACCTGTAATCCCAGCACTTTGGGAGGCCGAGGCAGGCTGATCACTTGAGGTCAGGAGTTCGAGACCAGCCTGGCCAACATGGTGAAACCCTGTCTCCATTAAAAATACAAAAATTAGCTGGGTGTGGTGGTGGGCACCTGTAATCCCAGCTACTATCCAGGAGGCAGAAATTGCAGGGAGCTGAGATCGTGCCACTGCAATCCAGCCTGGGCGACAGAGTGAGACTCCATCTCAAAAAATAAATAAATAAAAATAAAATAAAATATGAACATGCCTTATATCTGAAGGGCAGATATAGAAATTATTTTTCTAGGGTGATTGTCCTCTGAATATATGAAGAAACAATGTTATTTGACGTTTTCTTTAAAAAGGAAGTCTGAAGCTAGGCATGGTGGCTCCTCGAACCTGTAATCTCAGCTACTCAGGAGGCTGAACCAGGAGGACTGCTCGAGCCCAGCAATTCAAGACCAGCCTGGGCAACATAATAAGACCCCCTTCTCAAAAAAAAAAAAAGGTTGAGGGGAGTCTTTGCTAACAATTGGATTTAGGGAAAGAGGGGCCAGGAATTAAAATAACTACAGGAAGTAAGATAACTACAGGGTATGCCCAGCTGTGCCCTTGGAGGCCTGTCTGGAGTACAGTCAGTATTTAGTGCACGGAGAGCTTTGGCTGCACTTGCTCTGGGGCAGATCAGTCACTGCTGATGCGTCCCATGGTGCATCTCTCCTGATGATCTTGATGCTGTTGCAGGTGGCCCATGGCGCCCTCAGTGATGGTGCCATTGATGCTGTGGAGACACAGAAGGACCTCCTGGGAGCCAGTGGGCTCATGCTGCTGCTTCCCCCCAAAATGAAGAGTGAGGACATGGCAGAGGAGGACGTGTACTGGCTGTCGGCCTTGCTGCAGCTCAAGCAGCTCCTGCAGGCTAAGCCCTTCCAGCCTGCGCTTCCTCTGGTGGTTCTTGTGCCTAGCCCAGGAGGGGACGCCGTTGAGAAGGAAGTAGAAGATGGTTTGTGAAGGAAGTCTCGTTTATGAAGCAGCATTGTTTAATAAATGGGTGGAGGCCCTGGGTCTGAGGATGGTCCAGTAGTGTTGGGGTCAGGAATCACTGAGACAGCAACCCCTGTGGTGACTGTCCACTGCAGGACTGGGTGGGGTCAGCACAGTGAGATATGTTAGCAGGTGTGCTGACAGCAGAATGCAAGTGACCTTCATCTATGTCTGTCTTAAAGGTCTGATGCTACAGGACTTGGTTTCAGCTAAGCTGATTTCAGATTACACTGTTACCGAGATCCCTGATACCATTAATGATCTACAAGGTTCAACTAAGGTAAGGTTTCATCATTTTTAATGGTCTGTCAAGATATTTTGTTTTTTCCCCTTTTGCTGTATCTTGAATTGAGTGTATATTAGCGTTTGCATTGTCTTTTTCTTAAGAGACAGGGTTTTATTGTCACCCAGTATAGTGGCATGATGATAGCTCCCTGCAACCTCAAACTACAGGGCTCATGCAATCTTCCCACTTCAGTCTCCCAAGTATATGGGACTACTGTGGTGTGCCACTGCGCCTGGCAGCAGTTGTATGTTTTATACAGATAACTTTCTAAAAACATAAGCAGAAATCAAAATAAAAGATAAAATTTGCCCACAGTCCTGCTATCTGCAAATTAAATTGTTCATGTAAAATTTTTTAGTGTTTTTGTTTCTATGAATTTAAAATATGAACATGTCTTATATCTGAAGGTCAGATACAGAAGTTATTTTTCTAGGGTAATTGTCCTCTGAATATATGAAGAAATAATGTTATTTGATGTTTCCTTTAAAAAGGAAGTCTGAAGCTGGGCGTGGTGGCTCCTCGCACCTGTAGTCTCTGCTACTCGGAGGCTGAAGCAGGAGGACTGCTTGAGCTCAGGAGTTTGAGACCAGCCTGGCCAACATAGCAAGACCCCCTTCTCAAAAACAAAAAAAATAGGGCAGGGGGAGTCTTTGCTAACAATTTAGAGAAAGAGGTGCCAGGAATTAAAATAACTATAGGAAGTAAGATAACCATAGGGTGTGAAGGCACCTTGGCACATAGTGAAGCTGTTAGTCCTTCCAAAAAGGAGAAGACTCCATTTCTGTGCATGGTGAAGGGGATGTTCAGGGCTGGTTTCCTGAGGGCCTGGGCCTTTCCATGGGGCAACCATGCAGGTCACACTCCTCCTCAGGCCAGGTGGGATCTGGGGGCTCTCTTTAGTGCCCCTACTGGACATGTCTCCAGAGCCCTAGAAGGCTAAACTCAACTGCATAGGACACTTCTGTTCCCCTTCCTACCACAGTTGAGAGCCCAGTACTCTGGTATTACCTGCTGTGGGCAACCTTGGGGGATCAAGCCCTTTCAGAAAGCTGTTTTTGAAAAACAGTGTGAATTGTTCAACCAAGTCTCTTCTTTCTTCTCAGGTTTTGCAAGCAGTGCAGTGGCTGGTTTCCCACTGCCCCCATTCCCTTGACCTCTGCTGCCAGACTCTCATTCAGTACGTCGAAGACGGGATTGGCCATGAGTTTAGTGGCCGCTTTTTCCATGACAGAAGAGAGAGGCGTCTGGGCGGTCTTGCTTCTCAGGAGCCTGGCGCCATCATTGAGCTGTTTAACAGTGTGCTGCAGTTCCTGGCTTCTGTGGTGTCCTCTGAACAGCTGTGTGACCTGTCCTGGCCTGTCACTGAGTTTGCTGAGGCAGGGGGCAGCCGGCTGCTTCCTCACCTGCACTGGAATGCCCCAGAGCACCTGGCCTGGCTGAAGCAGGCTGTGCTCGGGTTCCAGCTTCCGCAGATGGACCTTCCACCCCTGGGGGGTACGTGCTTGACCTGGGGAGGTCTGGTGGGTGGCTGCAGCCAAGTCTCAGGCTTCCTTCTCACTGTAGTAACCGTCTGGCAGGTGTTGGGCACCAGTGTGAGGGCTGCACGTCCACCTCCGTGTGTCTCCATGCTGTGCTCGCCTGCACCTTCCTTTGGTCCTTTGGGTTCATGAGCCAGAACAAGCTGGGTTTTGTGGAGTGGGGGCTGTTAGCCTTTCCTGACCAGCAAGGCAGTCCATGGGAGTTCACTCAGCTTCAGGAGAAAAGTGACAAGTGGTACTGGGAGGAACACCAACCCTGATCCTGTCCTGCCTGCCCACAGGGTCCCTGTTTTCAGAACAGACAAGGGGCAAAGAGCATGGGGACCATGTAGCCCTGTCCCCAAGCCGCAGCCATGGCACTCAGTGCTGATTTAACATTCTTTCTTTGTCAAAGAGGCCTTCTTCTATGGCTCTGGCTGTGCCCCTGTTCCTGGCTGAGGTCTTTGGGCTGTTTTGACACAGATCCGACAGGCCATCTGGCTGGCTCAAGCCCAGTATGGCATGGGGCTGCTCCTTCCTATGCACTCAGAAGGGAATGAGCTGCTTATCTGGCAGAAGTTGTGGCATTAGCACAGACACTCCCCTTTGGGCCTCAGGCGCCCTTCTAAATTGTGGTGTGTGGTCTGTAGTAGGTCTAACTCATGCTCATTATTGAAGGAACCCAAAGGGAAGCAAACCACTCAGCACAAGCCCTCGGTGCTCTGGTTAGGTTGGGGTTCCCCAAAATAAGCTAAGACTGCTTATACCAGACTCATCTGGGTGCTTGTTAAAATACAGATTTCCTAGGCACAACCACAGGCCTGTACAGTCAGAACTTCTGGGTAGAACTTGGCTAGCAACACTGTTAAGGGGGACTGTCTGCATCCCTCACCTAGACCCTGGGAGCAAGCTGCTCTTCCCCCTCAACAACTGTGGTTCTGCTGTGTTTAGAAAGCAGACTTCTCAACTTCACAGTTGCCTTCTCCTGAGAAAATGTTTTCATGTACATTTTCACCTGTATTTTGGCCAAACCTGTAACTAATGAGGCACTTTCTCCCCAGCCCCCTGGCTCCCCGTGTGCTCCATGGTTGTCCAGTACGCCTCCCAGATCCCCAGCTCACGCCAGACACAGCCTGTCCTCCAGTCCCAGGTGGAGAACCTGCTCCACAGAACCTACTGTAGGTGGAAGAGCAAGAGTCCCTCCCCAGTCCATGGGGCAGGCCCCTCGGTCATGGAGATCCCATGGGATGATCTTATCGCCTTGTGTATCAACCACAAGCTGAGAGACTGGACGCCCCCCCGGCTTCCTGTTACATCAGGTAATTAGAGCTTGATGCAATGGGATCAGCTCCTCACGAGACTTTCCTGGTCCAGTTTCTGCAAAGGAAGATGTTTAGTTGATGTTGCTGCTTTTCTTTTGGGTCTCTATCCTTCCTTTCCTTAGGACTTCCCTCTTCAAGTGAGTGACTTAAAAACATTGAGACAGGCTAGGAAGTTTCTGGTAGAGCCTGAACTCACCTCCCTGAAACAGGCCCCCTAGGATGGCTCTTAGAGAGGATTTTGTGGCTTTTGAGTAGTCATTACTGGCCCTGCCAGTCTCGATGTAAGCTTGTCTGGACTTTGAGTGATGCATGGACCCTGGGAGCCTATTTAACCCAAGTGTGGAAGTCACATAATTGTGTGACTTTAATCAAAGGTCTTGCACTTAAATCAGTGAATTTAAGCACATGCCACCTGTCGCTGTTTAAATATTATTTGTACCTGTTTTTGTTTTTTTGTGTGTGTTTTTTTTTTTTTTGAGACAGGGTTGGCCAGGCTGGCCTCTTTATCTGTTTTTGTATTGTTTTCTCAGAGGCGCTGAGTGAAGATGGTCAGATATGTGTGTATTTTTTTAAAAACGATTTGAAAAAATATGATGTTCCTTTGTCGTGGGAACAAGCCAGGTTGCAGACGCAGAAGGAGCTACAGCTGAGAGAGGGACGGTGAGGTTCATGTTCAGTATGTTTCTGTTGCTTGCTAAACTGTATTTTTCTTGCAAAGTAAATAGAAATTAACATCCTACATGCCAAATCCAGTCCACTGTGGGCAGACTGTGACAAATCCTCAAGGAACAGATCATTCCCATGCAGTAGAAACTATTCTAGAACAAAGTTAAAGCATCTCACTTCATTTATCAGGCATACCTGACCCTGAAATCATACCTAACCAGGAGAGTACAGCTGACATTTCATCTCACTTCCAAATTTGGTTCCAAAGCACAGTACCTAAAAAAGTTCACAAGTATGCTTTCTCCCAGGATAAACAATAACAGTGAAAATCTATTAATGTAATTTGTTGCCATAATAGAAAAATAAGTGGTAATTTTAGCAGGCGTTGAAATACGTTTCTTAAAATTTATACCTGTTCCTGATAAAATTTCTTTATTTTGGGTACTTTCTTTAGCTTGGGTTAAAAAAAAAAAAAGTCCTAACTTGATAAGGCTACCTAACATAAAACTACCAAAATAGAAAAAAAACATGCTTCTTGGTAGAATGTTAGGAACAGTGGAATCAGAACCAGCCTGTTGTCCCGACTATTATTCACTATTGTCCTGGAAATCCTGACCAGTACAGGGATGTGGGATAGACAGGCACAAATACTGAAAGGAAGGAGAAACTGTCATTTCCAGACAGTACAGTTGTCAGTCCAAGAAAAGTCAAGTCCATAGAACCATTCTCAGTTCAATAAGGTGATCAGATAGATAGATCCACAACATGTTAAAAAAAAAAAAATTCTCATTCACAACAATAAACCTGAACAGAAAGGGCACAGGATGGTGGAACTTTGCTGTTCCTTCTTGTTCCCCATAGAGATCCTTGAAGTACCTTCTCCAACTCCATGATACTCTAAAAACTGTTCATCTTCATAATAGGAGTGGAGCCTAATCCTTGGTCTCCTCACCTCCTGGTTTCCCGGAATGTCTTTCTCATTAACATATGAGTTCTCAGGGCCTGTATGTGCAAAGGAAACCTGAACCATTGAGGTTCAGACTAGGTTGTTGACAGGATACAATGCTGTGAAGATGTCAGTACTGGTAAGTTCTAAAATTCATCAGGATAAACAAATATGCATCAATTGCTGAGAAAGTTTTAAATAAGACTAACATGGTTTGCTTGGCCTGATACCAAGACATACAGTAAAGCTCCAGTACTTAAAACCATGTGGGGATGCCAGAGTAGATAAATGGATCAGAATAAAGAGTCAGAATATGTGACAAAAGTGTTAGGCCAAATTATTGAAATTAGTGGGGAAAAGACAAACATTGGCATGTGTTTAGAAAAAAATGTCAGATGCCTTCTCTCTCACCATTTGTAAACATTACTTCCAAATGTATCCAAGAGCTATCTATAAAAAACCTTGCCAATACTAGGGAAGAACAGAATCTGGAACCCTAGGGTGGGAAGCAAGACATGAAGCAGAGAAGCTCCAAAAACCTAGCTGCCTCTTGAGAGCAGAAGCTTCCAAGAGGAACAGGCAGTCTCAATGCCTCTGTGCATAAGGGTCCCTACAGTGCAGGGGCTGCCTTCCCTCTTTGCTCCACTCCCTGACTTGATGGAAGCTTGGAAGCAGGCATGGGGCCAGCATGAGCTGTTCCAGGAGGGCACATGTGTCTGAGGCACATGTTCTTACATGTTAATGCACATGTGCAAATGTATCTACATGCTTTACATGATGCTGTAGAAATATTTTCTCTTGACCATAAACATTTCAAATCATGTACTTACAGTTTGGCAATAAAGCCTTTTCATCCTTCTGCAAACAATTTTCCCATACCATTGCTTCACATGCACCGTAACTGGAAGAGGAGCACAGAGTGTGCTCAAGAGGGGAGGATTCCCAGCACAGAGGATCTGATGCGAGGAGCTTCTGCTGAGGAGCTCTTGGCGCAGTGTTTGTCGAGCAGTCTGCTGCTGGAGAAAGAAGAGAACAAGAGGTGAAGCCCACTTCCTTCTAATTCATGTGTGTTTAGTCTGCTTTATGCTGTGAGGGGAGACTGGTTATTGCTTGATTAATATAAGACAGCCAGGATGGAGAAGGGCAGGTGGATTATTAGCAACAGTTTTAGTGATGTAACTATTTAAAAGCTCTTTGAAGACAGAAGCAGTGCCCTAGATAGTATGTTTCTAACTGTTTATATTGAAGTGAATTTCATTTATTATTTATTATTGAAAGTCAGTGTTAAGTTTTTCTGGGAAATTCATGTGGTTAAGTCTGCTCAGAAGATGGTGAGTGCTGAACACTATGGCTGGCCACAGGCACCCTGCCCTTGGGAGCCTGAGGCATTGGTGGATCATCCCATGCTGTGAATGGACAGGAGCTGGGGCTGCCCCTCCTCTACATTGCCCACTTCCCTCCCTCCCATGCATACCTTTCCTTTGCTTTCATTTGATGGCCATGTTTACCATTTTACTGAGTAGAATCAGGAATAAGGGACCTTCCACAGGTTGTCCTCTGCCTTCCCTGCCCTCCCAGCCACATCCAGCATCCTCCCTATATCCCCTTCCTGACGCCTCTTGTTGCTGGAAACGAACCATGCAGCTCGTAGTCAGTCAGCCCTTCCCTGGGCTGGGATCTCATCTCCCACCTACCCAAGGACATTCATTCAATGAGTATCTCTCTCGTGCTACCACCCCTCCCCATATTAGGTGGTGCCCATCAGCAGCACACAGACATGAAACATGCCTCCCTGTCTTGGTCCCACTTCCCTCTTTAGCCACCACTTCATGTTTCTGCCCTCTTAATGGTAAAACTCCTCAAAAACGCTTGTGATACTCACTTCTTCAGCCTTCTTTCCCATGGGGATGAAGGCCCAGGGTTGAACATGACCGTGAATCCCAGTCCTTGGTAGCATCCCATACTTGATCCTCCCCTCCTTGCTCCTAGGATGTCCGTGGTCCCCCTCCTGCCCTGCTGGTTCCTCCTCATCCCCCAGCTGCCCCCTGGATTCATTCTCTCAACCTCTCCTCTGCATCGTCTGTACCTACTCCTCAGAAATTTCATCCAGTTTCATGGATTTTTAAGTAACATCACTATTCTGACAGCTCCAAATTTGTATCTCAAACCTCTGAACTCCACACTTGAACATGCTACTGCTTCCTTGAAATCTTCATTAGACACCTATTGGATGTCTGGTAGCCACTGCAAAGTTAACATATCCCAAATCCAGTTCCCGGCTTTCTTCCAACCAACCCCTTCCTTTGGTGGTCATCTCTGTTGATGGCGGCTCCATCCTTCCAGCTGCCTAGATCAGGTGCCTTGGAATCATCCCCTCACATCAGCCCATTCACATATCCTATTGGCTCTATTGAAAATACATTCAGAATTGGACCACTTGTTATGACTTCCATGGCCACCACGTGGCTCAAGCCACTATCATCTTCCTTCTGGATTATTACAGTAGGCTGCAGTTTAGTCTTGGTAGACCTGGTGGGTGCCTTTCAAGTGAGTTAAGATGGAGGTCGTGTCACTTGCTTGCTTACAGCCTCTCAGTGGTTTCCCTCTTTCACCTGCAATCAAAGGCAAACTTTGCAGGGGTGGCCAGGGCCCTGAGTGATCTGCCCCCCATTTCCTCTCTGACCTCCGCTCCTTCCTTGAGCATGGTAGGCAGTTCACAGTTGGGCCTCTGAGTTTGCTGTTCCTTTTGCCTAGGACTGTCCAGCCCCTCCATTCTCCCCAGCATCCCCATGGCTGATCTTGTACTCACTTCAGATCTCTACTCAAATGTCTGCTTCTGTTAGGCCCTGCTTGCCCATCTCCGACCTTCTTGTTTCCATGGCTCTGCTTTGTCTTTCTCATCTTCAAACCATGTTTCTCTTGTTATGTGTTCCTTGTCTGTCTCTCCTCACTAAAGTATAAATTGCTTAGGGCAGGGCCTCTGTTTTGTTTCAGTGCAATATTCCTTGTACCTAGAATGATGCCTAGCATCTGGAGGAGGCTTAATGAATATGTTTTGGAAGGGTGAATGAATGTGTCCGATTACTAAAATCAGTCTCTATAATTTAAGTGGTTTGGGATGAGATTTTTTTTTCCTTTTTATTAGATAGAGTCTCGCTCTGTTGCCCAGGCTAGAGTGCAGTGGCACAATCTCGACTCACTGCAACCTCCACCTCCCAGGTTCAAGCAGTTCTCCTGCCCCAGCCTCCCAAGTAGCTGGGACTACAGGTACCCATCACCATGCCTGGCTGATTTTTGTATTTTTAGTAGAGACGCAGTTTCACCATGTTGGCCAGGCTGGTCTTGAACTCCTGACCTCAGGTGATCCACCTGCCTTGGCCTCCCAAAGTGCTGGGATTACAGGCATGAGCCACTGCACCTGGCCAAGATTGTTTTTCTTGAAAAGACCGGTATATGGAAGTAGACAGCTCTAGAGTATGTTAGGTGGCAGTGGGATATTATTTTGAGTTAATTTTAAGCTATAAGCAGCAATCCACTCATTTGGAAAATGTCAG